>NC_000008.11:3385135-3687420 GCF_000001405.40 Homo sapiens
ATACATAATATATAAATATATAATACATAATATATAAATATATAGAAGTCTAAATATATAAATAGAAATGTAAAATCATATACATATACATGCATATCTATGAATGCATATGTATGTATACATGTGTATGTATGAATATATATGTATGTATGTATATAGGCCTTTACATTTCTTGCTAGATATATTATTCCTGGATAATTTTTTTGTGTTTTTGTGTTTTACCCTACATGTTTTTATTGTATTTCTAATAAGTTATATCCTATGCGGAAATCTATTGACCTGTTATCCTGAATGCAGCCACCTACTGAACTGATTGTTGCTAAAAGTCAACTATCTTCTCTTTATAATATTTCTAATTCATATCATTTTCATATACTTTTGCATTTGTTAGGATCTTCAAAGCAATGTTACACAATACTTCTAAAACCAAGGAGTATATCCTGTTCTTGACTTTCAAGGGAATTTTATAAGAGTTTACTATTAATTATGGTGTTTTCTGTAGGCAAATTCACTTATATGACGGTTCTCTGTATATTTATGAAAGCGATATATTATTTTAGAGTTTATGTTTAAATATTTATTTTAGAGTTTACTTAAAGTTTAATGTAAAAAAATGAGACATGTCTTTCCAGAAAAACTTAGGCATAACTACTGTTCACAGGTTTTCACCTCTTTCATCTGCTTGGATAAGAAGAAGTTGGCCAGAGAATTCCTCTGTGGGAAAATGCCAGGGCTGGGTATGCATAGTCCATGTTGCAGATTCACATATGAGAGGAAAAAAAAAGCACTAGGTAATTTCTGCCACCATCTGTGATTGTCGTGAAATAGAAGAGGAATTAAGAATGTACATTTTAGCAATTGTCTAAATTCTTACTGTCTTTCCTGCTGCAATAGTAATTCTTAGCTCATTTAAGATTGGTAAGTGGCAAAATGATATCAATACAATGTCTAAATTACCTTGGTGCTTACACCATATTCCCTAGACAAATGGAGTTGATGTATTAGAATTATAACCAATAGCAGGAAAAGAAAAATGCCTCAGCTCATCTGCACAAAAAAGGAACCCTTTTGCATCTCTATTCAGAAACTTAGCAGAAAGCACCTTCACCTGGGGGGCTCACCCCTGCGTTGCTTGGCCAGTGGCTCATGTCAGGCTGCACCTCTTTCTCAGCCTGCTCGTGTGGCCCCACAGACGCCGAACTCGACTCCCACCTACTCCTGCCCAGAGTGCAGCATTCCCACCGGTTCCAGCTGGTTCGCACACTTCCCACACTTCCTGAGAGGGCTCCAGCAGCTCTGTGCTGTCCACCTGCACTCTGTGGTCTCGGCCACAGTGCCAGTTACTGTGTGGGTTCGTGCTTTGGTGACAAAGGTCAAAGATTTTGAGTGATCTGCAGTTAAGCAGAATTTTTCCATAAACCCTGTTATTTTGGGTGCTCATTTTAAAGAAGTCAAGGTGTTTAATGAATGCATGCATCATGTTTGAAAGGAAATACCTTTGTCTGTGAAAAGTATTGAAGATGTAAATGAAATATTTTTGCTTTTTCCATAGAAACAATGTGTTTTGGAACACTGTTTTCCATAGAAACAATGTTTCCTGGAACGTTTTTCTGCAGAAACAATGTTTCTTGGAATGTTATTTTCCATAGAAACAATGTTATACTGGGGTTATATTCATGGTCAAGGGCAAAATACCCCAAGTTTTTTTGGCAAATGATTACAAGCAACATATTTACCTAACTGTTATTATAACTACACACAGCATAGTATAACGTTGAGCAATACAATAACACAAAATAATCAGGAATGTTATTTGTCTTGAGATTCCCAAGAGAAGATTTGTGTAGGACAACAGGAGTGGCTGTTATCACAAAAAGCTGCTGAAGATCTCCTGACAGCTTCTGAGCTCAGAATGAGAACTCCCAGGAGAAGGCTCTGCTAGACATTCAGTCCACGGAAACAAAGACACGGACTGTAGACTGAGAGGAAGTGAGACACTGGGACGTATGTCAGGGGAAAATCAGGTCTGACATCCTAGGATATGTGTGGCGACTATACCGCCCCACGTGCCAGTTTCAATAAATACCATATGTAAAACACATGTGCAGAACTAAGCTCCCTAAGTTTGTTCATTCGGGGATAAAGTTGAAGGACAGTTGTTCTATCTAGTACATACACGGTGGTAGGTAAACTTCAAATGATCGGGAATGATACGATGATGGTATACAACTTCTCAGAGGGAACTCACGCCAGTCGTAAGGTACCACCCCCTGAAATACACACACCACCCAGCTAGTTAGACGTGTGCGCTGTCTCTGCACACCCTGCTGGTGCATTGCCTCACTGAGCTGTACCTACCGTCGCAGCTGGGCAAGGCGTGGTTCCACTGGTGGTTCCTCTCACAGACGAGGGGCTCGTCGTCACTTAGTGTGTACCCCGGGTCACAGCTGAAAGTCACTGTGGACCTGATGCCAAAGTCTCCACCGTGGCGATGGCCGTTCACAGGGATGCCCGGGTCCAGGCAGGAATCCGACTCAAGCGTCACACCTGGATGCACAGAACGAATGCAGTCGATGAGGATCTTTCTGGTTGATTGAAAATAATAGAGACCCACGCCATCAACTACGAAATAGTCTCAGAAATAATAAGACCTGAAACATTATGCAAGTGAACCCAACAATCCATGGACATAAAAGCCAATGCATCTTCAAACATTTGACCTCGTTTTTTAAAAGAGAGATTTATATTGTTATGCTGTTTACCAGATATTATCTACATACAACAACCTTGAATAATTAATTAACTTCTCTGAATTTTACTTTTCTTCTTGGAAAATCAATGAATTGCACTAAATAAAGTCTAAGACTTTTCCTGTTTTCTATTTTTCACCACCACTCTCCCTGTGTCTTATATATGTATTAAATATAGACATATGTACTTCTATATTTATATATTCCAGTTAGATTTTGGCAGTTTAACTTTCAAATAAATGCATACATACACCCAAACATATACACATATAATGCAATTAAAAACTGTGCTAGTGTTATTTTTCTAAGTTTGCATTCCATAAATCCATGCTATTTTCAAATTTTAGTTTAAGTCAGCCACTTGCAAGATAGCTACTATTAGCCTTTGCTAACGATGGGAAAAATTAATGTGCATGAAGTAATTATGATCATATCATTATGAGAGTTTCTTTTCTCCTCTCACATTTCTCATTTCTCTTTTTAGAAAAACATATATTTTAAGAGCTAAGGAAAATGAGAATAAGGGAAAAGAATATCATTGTAATGTTTACATATGCGAAGAAATAAAAAATCCTTGTTATTGCTGTGTCATCCTCTCAGTAAACATCAGAACATTAGAATGAATATCTGAACTGTGAATTAAAAGTCTTAAAAATATTTCTAATTTAAAGACTGTTTAGTCTCTAAAGGTGATCTTCGGGATATTGTTTCTGATCATTGCATATGTTTTATTTTTCCAAAATTTGAGTGCTATAACTTGGGCCTGGCCCCAATACTTTTTTCTTAAACTGTTTTTCTAACAAATTTTCTAAACACTAACACATGTCTATTGCCCTAAACAACAGAATGTAACTGTCCTTGCTGCTGCGCAGTATGGCAGGAAAGCCTCCTTCCAACTCTGGAGGAGCTTTCAATCTGCCAGAGGCAACGTGGATATCATTTGGCTAGAAATCTATTACCTACCACCTGCTCCTCCCTCCCTCTCTCTACATACACACCACACACATGCATACACACACACACACACACACACACACACACACACACACACACACATTCACTTTCAGAGGCATTGTTTATGACTTCTTCCAGGACACTCCCACAGATTTTATGCATTATTGGCTCCAAATGAACACATGGTACCCAATGCTGGGTGAATGATTTTTGTTGTTGTTGTTTACTTTTATTTTAAAACCCAGTGCTGGGTGAATGATTTTTTGTTGTTGTTGTTTGTTTACTTTTATTTTAAGTTCAGGGGTACATGTGCAGGTTTGTTACATTGGTAAACTTTTGTCATGGGAGTTTGTTGTACAGATTATTTCCTCACCCAAGTATTAAGCCTAGTGCCCATTAGTTGTTTTTCCCGATCCTCTCCTTCCTGCTACCCTCAACCCTCTGATAGGCCCCAGTGTGTGTTGTTCCCTCTATGTGTCCATGTGTTTTCATCATTTAGCTCCCACTTATAAGTGAGAACATGCGGCGTTTGGTTGCCTGTTGCTGCATTAGTTTGCTAAGGATAATGACATCCAGCTCCTAGCATCAAGATCAAAATCAAGACAAGAATTCCCTCAAAAGAAGAAGCTCTGCTGAAGAAATGCACTGATCTCTAGGTTTCTGGGGAAAAAAAACAGTTAACTAAATAATTTCATTTCTTCAAAAAGGTTTCTGTGGTCACTAAACAACAGTGTATGCACTACGGCAAAACAGTAATAGGAACGATTATCTTAGAATAAGTGAGGATTATATATTAATGGTTTTAATAAGTGAGGATTATATATTAATGGTTTTAATAATGAAATTTATAAACCATAAACTAAACTTTTCCCACACAAAATTTACAGTGA
Source organism: Homo sapiens (assembly GCF_000001405.40). NCBI lineage: Eukaryota > Metazoa > Chordata > Mammalia > Primates > Hominidae > Homo > Homo sapiens. The sequence continues at coordinate 3,389,730 of NC_000008.11, forward strand.
AAAGAGACAAACTGCGGTAGAAATAAAAACATCGAATTAAAATGTTGAATTATTTACATTTCAAACTGAATAAACTCTTAAGGTCACAATTGATGCTTAGTTCCAATATTATGCCATAATACTTCCATTCATTTTTAAATAATAATTGACACCACTATTGAATTTTGAAATATGCAGACATTGTTCTCGTTTTCATTACAAACTGTTTGAATGGAGAGTACAGGACGGGAGGACTGTTGAGTGGTAGAATTATGATACTACATTCGATTTCCAGTTCAACTGAAACTGGCCATGTAAAAGAATCCTGAAACAAGAAAATGGTGAGAAAGAACATCTGGAATTTGGCTGGGCACGGTGGCTCATGCTTGTAATCCCAGCACTTTGGGAGGCCGAGGTGGGTGGATCACCTGATGTCAGGAGTTTGAGACCAGCCTGGCCAACCTGATGAAAACCTGTCTCTGCTAAAAATATAAAAATTAGCCAGGTGTGGTGGTGGGCACCTGGAATCCCAGCTACTTGGGAGGCTGAGTCAGGAGAAACGCTTGAACTCAGGAGGCAGAGGATGCAGTGAGCCAAGGTTGTGCCGTTGCATTCCAGCCTGGGCGACAGAGCAAGACTCTGTCTCAAAAAAAAAAAAAAAAAAAAAAAAAGGAATTTTGTAGCAGGTGATTTATCTCCAATGGAACAATACATTTATGATAAACTAAGACCAGTCTGTGGACACAGGTAGCCAATTTACCTTGTGGGAAAGGTAGGGCAAAGTCCTACCTTCTTTCCCATTCTGTCTCCTGCCTGACAGCACAAAGAGAAATACAGACCACCGGACTTTGTTGAAACGACGTGTATATTCAGAGTCTGTTCCCACTCCTTCTTACTTGAACCTTAAAGCAACAATGAATTTTTGATACAAATAGTTACAAACATTACTTTTTTTTTTTCAATTGGTCTTTGCAAAATAAGTGACTGAATACATTTGCTACTTAATGAATAAAGGGAGTTGATTACTTTGCAAATAATCCGTGTGCAGCTCATACGGAGGTACATTTGATATGAGCAGGGTTCTGTATGAATCAACAGTCTTTATAAAACTCCTAGTCCAAGGAAGGAATGAACATTTCCTGAGCACATTTCATATGCCGAGCTTAGAGATGTCACTTCTCACAGCCTCCGAGAGGTTTCAAAATAGAGGTTGAAAAGTCACAGTTGATAAAGCCAGTGAGCCAAGAAATTAAGCAAACTGGCCATGTTACATTATTTACTGATATTGAAACCTGAGCCTTTGCCTGCTTTTCTCCTCTCTCTCATGTATGCATCCATGCGTGTGCCTGTGAGTGTTAGCATGCATGGGCATGTTATATATACCTTTGCATTGCATCCAGTACCATTACATCCCGACCACTCTCCTTTCCTTTTCTGATCATATAAAAAGTCACCGAATCTCAGCAAACAATTGGTGTGGTGTGCACGCACATATAAACCACTAAATATACTCCTTTATCACAATGTTTCTTCCATGAATAACATGATATATCAATCACACAGTAGAGTATGTACATTTACAAGTGATGAATCTTTCTTCTGCCTTCAGAGATGATTAACAAGATACTTTTGACAGCATTTTCAAAAAATGCTCTAAAATTAAATGGAAAACCTTCATACCCTTGAGAATTCCATTTATTTTCCAATTTCTTACAAAATTATGACAATTTTAAAGTGGTGATTTAAAGATCAACATACAAAGCAGATGATCATTCTGGAGCGAGAATGCAATCGCTATTATATACAGACACTGTGCCACATTCCTCGTAAAGAATGGCTAGACTGTCGCTGGACACTAACATATGAGATGATTCCTAAGACTGAGTGCATGAAGCAGAACTGCAATTCTAGGTTTGCTTTTACAAAAGCCTCAAAAAAATGACTTCAACCTTTGAGCCACACAATTCAGAAAGGCCTTCTGGAGTGAATGCTGTTTACAGTAGCTCACATTGCCTTGTAGCACCGCTGCAAATATAAGTCAGCCTCGAGTACCTGTGGCTGTGATTTCTGCAACACATTTTGTCTGTAGAGATCATTGGCATGGGCCTCTATGGGCATGAAGAAGCGTCATTAATAATTTCAGAAAGCAAGGAGTGTTTATAATGTGAAACATGTATGATGAAACAGAAGAGATGAGCAATATTCCTGTTTTTAAGAGGCATAAAGAGTTTGATATAAATCATTCTTGGGTCATGGATGAAGCTGGAAACCATCATTCTCAGCAAACTATCACAAAGACAAAAAACCAAACACCTCATGTTCTCACTCATAGGTGGGAATTGAACAATGAGAACAAATGGATCCAGGAAGGGGAACATCACACACCAGGGCCTGTTGTGCGGTGGGGGGAGGGGGGAGGGATAGCATTAGGAGATATACCTAATGTTAAATGATGAGTTAATGGGTGCACCACATCAACATGGCACATGTATACATATGTAACTAACCTGCACGTTGTCACATGTACCCTAAAACTTAAAGTATAATAAAAAAATAAAATAAATAAAAATTGGATGACATTTTCACTTGAAAAAAAATAATAATTCTTGGGTCACAGGCAACCCACTTTCAAAGAATGTGTTGGATGAGTGAGTGTAATCATTTTCTAGTGCCTGCATCTTGGCTTCAGAACCTATTTTGTCGAAGGGTGCTAGACGGGGTTACCTGGATGAAGGGGTTGGTAGCATTTTTCTCTTCCACGCTTTGCCACTTTTTCTCTGTCTCTGCTTTTCTCGCTGGACTCATTGGTTCCTTTAACCCTCCGTGACCTCTGCTGGCCTTGGCCCCTTCCCTCCTGCTTGCCTGTGGGTTTTCTCTCTCCCTGGAGCCCGGGATCTGCGTCTGCCTTCACCTTATTCAGAATCACCTCGAGGACTTGATTAAAAGCTCAGGATTCTGATTTTCATCATGAGTTCCCTGAATCACAATATTTGGAATCTGGGCTTGGGGCTGTACAATTTACTAAGCTCCCAGGGATGTGTTAGTGCACTATGATGTTTGAAGAAACCTTCCCCTTCAGCACCGGGTAAACGGGGACACCCTCTGAGTGGGTTGCGAGCCTCTGAAAGCACTCATATCTCTACACCACCCACAGAAATAGCAACCAGAACATCTGAGCTGGTATTCAGGCATTGGTTTTATTTTAAACCCCGCAGGTAACCCTTAGGTGCAGGGCTGGTGATAAGCACTCATAAAATCCCAGGCCTTTCCTGACTCATTTTCTTACAACAAGCAAACAAAAAGCCATGTCCTGAACCTCATTCACTTATGTACATTTCCATATGTCTCTTCAAATACACAGCGACTGATACATAAATAAGAAGTGATCCCAAGTCAAGGTTCAGTATCACATCCTTCTGAGGTCCTATTTCTCCCTTAAGTCAGAGGAATAGGTGACAAACCTTTGAGAGCCTTCTGGAAGTTCACTATATGCAAGTCTAGATGTGTGTTTAGAGCAGTGAGCCTTTGAAGTCACAGTGCTGGAAAGTTCCAAACGCAACAATTTCCTGTCTTCACTCACTAGGTGAGGCCTCTGCTCACTTCTGTGGCTATACAGCTACCTCCTGAGACTTCCAACAAGGTGGAAAGAAGAGGGAATGCTAGACTCTCCAGCAGATCAGAACTTTATGACTCTCACACAATTATCACTGTATAAACAGGCATCATCTTGGTGACAGTTTTCTTCTTCTTTTTAGGGATGGAGAGAAAGAAAAATGGCATTTTTTTCATGTGTCTGTTGGCTGCATAAATGTCTTCTTTTGAGAAGTGTCTGTTCATATCCTTCACCCACTTTCACAATAGCAAAGACTTGGAAACAACCCAAATGCCTAAAAATGATAGACTGGATTGAGAAAATATGGCACATATACACAATGGAATAGTATGCAACCATAAAAATTGATGAGTTCATGTCTTTTGTAGGGACATGGATGAAGCTGGAAACCATCATTCTCAGCAAACTATGGCAAAGACAAAAAACCAAACACCACATGTTCTCACTCATAGGTGGGAATTGAACAATGAGAACACATGGACACAGGAAGGGGAACATCACACTCTGGGGCCTGTTGTGGGGTGTGGGGAGGGGGCAGGGATAGCATTAGGAGATATACCTAATGTAAATGACGAGTTAATGGGTGCAGCACACCAACATGGCACATGTATACATATGTAACAAACCTGCACGTTGTGCACATGTACCCTAGAACTTAACGTATAATAATAATAATAATAAAAAAATAAATTATATATATATATATATATATATATATATATATATATATATATAGAAAAAAAGAAAAATGGCAAAGAGCTTTACTCTCTGAGGGGTACTCCAGGTGATGGAAGAATGCCTTACGAAGCCTGCCCTCTACTTTTAAACACAGGATAAATGAAAAGAATACCAAAACATAGGGTAGTCATTCTTTTAAGATTATAAAAATAGTTGTCAGGATTACTTACATATTAAATTATTATATTATAGTATAATATAATGTGTATTCCATATTTTATAATAATAAAATATTATTATTATAATATTAGTGAGGATGACAAGCTAAATAGAAATTTATGAAATGACTTTTTATCATTTCCTGATTTTCCAGAAAGAGAAATAAGAAGAAGACATTTATTTAAATGACTTGGATAAACAAATGAAATTAGTTTCTTCTGCCTTCACTTAGCCTTTGGAACACATTCCCTCAAATGGAAGTAGAAAAAGCAAAGTCATCTACAGCTACAGAAATACAGATGAAAAGAAAGGAAAAGTGTTCTAATATTTGTCAATGCCTGAAAATAATTATTCTCTGAAGTTTCATGCACTATATATCTAAGAGTCAAGAAATTCTGGTGTAGAAAAAGTTGGGGGGAGGGGTGTGGGAGAGGATGAGAAAATACAAGGCTTATTAGGGATCTTACAAATTCAGATCACTGCAATGTTTACACATATTGTTACTTCAAAGAGAAGTGACAACTCGAATGGACATTTTAAAGAAACAAAATGTAAAATTTCCTGGTTCTTAAATTTTACTTTAAGTTTCAAAATACGTTACTTTGGAGCAAATGTTGTATATCTATATATGTGAAGAGTAATAACTGAATTAAATTTGAAATTTGTCATTAAGTCATTGATAAGCAATTTTCCTGATATTGGAATATTTTTATCTAAAAGTAGACAAAATCTTAAGATATACATGCATATGCACGTTTGTGTATACTTATATGAGTATGTAAAACCGAGGAATGCACATAACAGGTTGTTAATTTAAATGTGCTGGAGTGGGGCTCAGGGAGAGGGTAACAAGAGTAATAGGAGGTGATGTGGGGAATGGAAGGCAAGAAAACGAACAAAAGGAGATTTGAAACCCATCATAGTAGACATGATTCTATGCATGCATTTGTAAAATCATACGTGTGGGTATATGTAAATTTTAAAAACATCTTTACAATAGTACTTGAGATAAAGCTCTGAAAAAGAACAGCCATAAAACTTTGGCAAAATAAAAGTCTGATTCCTTCAGGTCCAATAGTAATTGCCACTTTTTCTCGCTTTTTCCGTGCTACTCTTTGAGGGAAGTGTTTTCAAACAGAGAAAAGAATAACAGCTGCTTTGCTTTGTTTTGTTTTAATTGGCTAATGTTAAAAATGTATTCCTAGGGGTGATTCCCATCAGCTAGATTTCAGAAGTATATTTGCATAAATATTATTATAAAATAATACAATTACTTAATCTCATCATTTCAGAAGCTAAAACTTTGATTTCAGTAAACAAGGGCAGGAAAACTTTCCATGTGGAAGTTTGGACTGTTTGCAAAATACATTCCATTATAATATTTTGACAATTGTTTTAAAATATGTTTAATAATTGTTTTAAAGTATTATTCATGCTTGTTGAAAGACTGTTAACAATTGTTTGGAATTTGGTAAGGTTTAGCAGGTTTTAATTCCTTCGCCTCTTGTTACCTGACTTTCACCCAGTGAAACGTGTCTATCTATACTCAGATTCGGTACCACAAATTGACCTAACCCTGTTTTTCTAGCAAGGATCCTTTTCTCCATTGCCCAGGTTAACATAATTTTAGTAATATATCCTATAAGACTTTTGCTCAGAAAGTACATTTTCTAATAATAGAAGTATATTATTACTTCCATTATTCTATGCAGAAGATGAACCCATTTCATTGTTTTTATTATTTTACTTTGTCATACGCGATGGATACGTATTTTTGAGAGTTAAAAGGCAGTAATTCCAAGATGCTCTCTTATGAATAACAGAAAGTTCTTACAATTGCATAGTATGGTTTTGCTAGAGTCAAGCAGGATCAGTAAACTAGCACAGTCATCTGCAGGCTGGAAATAAGAACCCAGATCTTTAGTTCTCCCATGCATGCTGCCCTGCCGGGCTGTCAAGGGAAGGTGCAACTCACTCTCATAGTGGATGAGGAAGCCGATGCTGGAGCGGCTGTTGTCAGTGGTGAACAGCAGGTACATGAAGTTCCCGGTGCTGATGAGGAACTGGGGTGCCTGGGTGCCGTGGTACTCGCCGATCAGTGGGGACGAACTGGCTGGCCCATCTCTGACCTCCAAGGTGTCATAATTGACCTCTGTCTGAAATCTGCAAATATATACATCCCATCAGAAAAGACATGCAGAACTGCCAGCTTACAGACGTGCTCCTGACATCCTCATTCCTTAATCAGAAACCCATGTACGTTAACATGAAGAAAATAGTTGAAATTACATATGCTTAAAACTTGGGTACAAATATAAGGATAGTATGTTCTTTTCTTGATGAGACGGCACAGCTTAAATCCCTTTCTCTTATCTAATATTCTGTCTTACAATATTACAGACACAAGAGGAGGCCTTTATTCAGCTTAAACAAAAATACTATGAACCAGATTAGTTTTCTTAGATGATAGATTGATAGATAGATAGATAGACAAATAGATTATTCCCAAATAGAAAAAACTCAATTATATATTTTTAAACTATTTTTACCATTCCCTATTTAACATAATTATAGACATCTTAAAATGGGTGCACTAGAGTGAAATCATCTCTTAAACAAAGAAGATCATTAAAAATGTGTGATGAGTTTAAACACCTTTCCTGAAAAAAAAAATCCTGTGCCTTTTTAAATTGCAATAACTCTTTCAAGACATTAGAACAACCATGGGTATGTTGCCATTTCAGACATGAAAGGATACTTTAATAACTTGAGAAAGTTACAACAGCTTCCAAAAACTGCTTAAGTTTTCTTATGCTTCCCGAGAATCTAGCCTGAGATTTTATATATATATATAAAGTTGCAGCCACTTGGCTCCCCTGTGATGCAATGTAGGTACCACTCCAGGCACGGAGATAATTTTCTAAGTGGGCCTATCTGATCCTCGAAGAGCTAACCCGGTTTCTGAGTGCCTGACTTGGCTCTCAGGGAGCAGCTTAAGCGTCATAAGACTCTGACTCACTCAGTCACTTTGAGCCAAAGGATCCCACGGAAGCCTGTGCCATTAGCTCTGTGCTGGATGTTGCTGATGAATTGGGAGAAAACTTGGGAGAGGGGAAGCAATCTTAGCCTCATGGCGTGTAGCAACAGAAAACGATGTTGAAACCAAAGGGCTGTGTCCTGTATACATTAGATCATGGATACACTGATTAGTGCAAATGCACATGATTACCTATTCCTGCAACTAGTGAATGTGGTACCCTGGGCCCCATTCTTCCATAAAGAGGAATTTGAACCATTTGTATATCACACATCTGGACCAGAATAAGGCCACAGGCTGCCACATTTGGGATTGCATAGTGCCAACTTTGTCTTATGACACTATTCTAAATCTTTTTCTTAAAACTGATTTCTCAGTTGTTTGAGTTCAAATTCAAGAAGTCTGGCTAAGCGTGAAAGCAATCTCCTTTGACATAGTCATGCTGAAGTTGTCCTATCCTGTTTCTTTAGTAACAGTGAGGACTGACAAAGTGCCTATTTCAACAGCTGGAAGATTTCCAGGATGACGTTGGAAACAGAAACATCTGGATGTTCTTTGCTGTTGGGCAGCCTAACACACACCGCCTGGCAATACCATCAGCACAGAGCTCAGAATTTGTGCGCACAATCCCATCCTTTAAGGTGTCAGCCCATCGGTCATGGTGGAAATGAACATTTCCTTATGCAATTCATCTTTTAAGAGCTGTGTACTATGTCTAGAGTACAGATCACACATGTCTAAAAATATCAGAAATATCGGGTATTTCCAAATGGAATTTAGCAAAACATCACACTGAAACAATACTGAATGAATGAGATTGGGAAAAATCAAGCAAATATCTTCCTTCAGGCAACTGAAAATAGAGGGCTAATAGACTGGCCAGAGAAGAATATAGGATCACTACTTTTACTAAATTACTTAAATTTGATACGCTGCTGGGAGTCAGGGCGTGCTTCAGCTCCGCCTGCCAATACCAGTAAGTGGAGAAATTAGTAAGAAACCCAACGTAATCAACTGAATACTTACAGAGTTAGTATTTTTTCAAATGATTGATTATACACAGTAATTCACTTTCTAATATAGATGGATTTATAAACAACTTTTTTCTCTTGTTCTAAGAGATTGTGCTATTGGGGATTATTATTATTTTGTCAGAAGCAAGTGAAAAAATAAAAATAATTATTTCAAATAAATACAATTACTGAAAGTTAACACAACTCCTGCTGAAAAACCTTTCCTGTGTTGATGTTAGCATTGATCATTTGAAAACAAAAAGATAATAATACAATGAAGTTCATCTATCTTGAGACACCATAATATTCCGGATACTGAAATCCAGAATGTAGTCTAGTCAAGAAGAAGGTCATTGTTAGAGAAAGCCCAATGTTATGCAGAGAATAACCTTGAAACTTTCAACAAAGATGCCTCCCTAGCCTTTGGTTCATGTTGCTCATGACAAAATCTTTTTAGTTTTTAATCATCAATTTGGTCTCAGTGTTGAGAGAAATGGGAAAACCCTTCTTATATAGAACTCCAATAGCCTGCTTATTTTTTAATAAACAAATACCTACGCAGCCCAGCATGCTTATTTTTTAGATCATGAAATGCATTATTAAATAGCTAAGCCAAGCAACATTCTAGTGATAATGTCACTCATAGGCGATTAGTTGGTGATTGATCTGCTGTCCGCACCCCATTGCCCGCTCAGCATCACTAGCTGCCCTCGAGTGACCAGCAGCCACCACCAGAACAGGAGAGCTGATTTCCTCTACCACAGAAGACACCTAAGGGACCATGGGACCCAGAGTGGTTTCCATGTGCAATCAGACATCAAGCTGAATTGATTCCAGTGCAGGTCCCAAACCCAGAGTCAGATACAAGGGTCGGACCTCGGGAATGGTCCTCCAGGACTGGCAGTTCCCCTACTAACCTCCAGAGCATTGGCTCACTGTGGGCTTAGAGGATACCACTGAAGAAGAACAAAACTTACAAGTAAGTGCCTGTTTCTGGTAAAGTGTGCTCCTATGCGGGAACCGAAAAAAACTGCCATCTTTTTAAAGTTTAAGATCCATTTACTAAAACTATGGAAGAGACACACACCATTGGGTCCAAATGAAGACTAATTTTTTTCTTACCTGTCAAAAGTTATTTTGATAGAGTGGCCTGGTTTTGCTTCAATTATCCATTCACAATGTAAAGAATCCTTATAATATCCTGGCCATCCAGGAGGCAAAATGACTCCGCTGGACGCTGTCAGATGTCCACCACATGGAGCTAAAACAAGACGTAGAATATCTATTAGATCCAATGAGACAGAAGGATATGCCATAACAATACCCGGATAAAAGCCAGAATCTGCTTCTGTGTTCATAGACTGAATATTTTCAAGTATCAAAGCAAATCTTATTCCCAAGGAAACTGTACATTTATTGAAAGCAGGGTCTATATATGCTACCTCCATGTACTTACCATTACCTTGAAGCAAAGTTCTTTTTCTCTAGTAATGGTAATGTATACGTGAGTTCTCTGTGCTAACTGAATTATCTCATTTAACTGCTAACCATTTCATTACGTACATGCCCGGTTATCTATAGTTTACATGCATTTGGAATTTAACAATTATCTATACATAAGCAAATGTAAAATGACCTTACATCTCAAGATGGATACATATACACACCCTTAGGTGTGTGTATGCATGTGTTTATTTACTTCCATTGTGTGCATTTTATTAAAATAAATAGCCACATGCAACATATTATTTGTGAGTGTGAAACAAAACAAAATGTTCAATCAAATTTGATAAGTGTAGAATTAGACTGCATTGAACCTTTTGCAAGGTTTTGTGACAGTGATTTGTAATTGCAAAGGAGAAATAAAGTTTGAAAGGGTATATAATTACTGCTCAGTGAAAGTGATTATGCATACCTGTATCATCTAAAGGAATTTTAAATAGCATACCAATATTTCATACCGTAATTAAGAATATGTCCCTGGCCACATGTTTTCTTTCAGATTTTATGTATTCTCTCTCAAAATTATTTGCCATTAGCAATCATCTTTGTGGATTTATAGATATCAAATAAAGTACGTGAAAATACTCCAAGGTGAAAAAATCCTTTTGGAAAAAATATTTATTTTATTTAAAAATGGCCATATGTATAATGTAAAAATGCAAAAAGTTTATATCATTTTAGCCATGTTTTGATGCTAGAAAAAATGTGAATTAGTGAAATTTATGGATTTACCAATAGTATCTTAATTTACGTCAGGAAACAAATACAGAAAAAATAAAAGCAAAAATTTATGGAAACTGCATGACCATATATTGGAATGTGGCAAATATATTTGAAGTAACGTTTGGAAATTTTGTTGATATGGGAAAATCTTTGCAATAGAATGTTAAACTTGAAAAGTGGATAAAAAATTGTCCATCTGTTATAAATGTAATAAAAGAAAAATTTTATTCAGTGAACACGGCAGTGGAAATTAAAAACATGTTAATAATGGATAGCACTGGGATTGCTTTATAGATCATATTTTTTGATATATTATATATATATATTTTTCCCAAATAAGTTGCAATTGTTATTTTTATACCTATGCATTATTCTGTAGTTTAAAAATATGAAAGCAGGGTAATTTTTATTAACTTGAGCTCCTGAAGAACACTTGATTTTTTGTGATAATTTTTAAAACAACCAAAATTATACTTATTAATATTTTAATTTTTCTTGTTAATTTCTTAAATTCACATTTGCAGCCTATGAATCACATATCGATATACATAATTATATGTAATTCAATTCTTTTGTTTTTTAAAGCAATGCAACACATTCTTTTATGAATACAACATAAGCAAAATTAAATATGTTAAATATATAACTTTTATTTTGTCATGTTTAACCATCCAAAGATACTATATAAGAAAGACATATGGCAGATGCAGAATTCCAAAAAAATTATGATAGTTGAGCAATTTCTAAAATCTGCATGATAAGTTATTTCTATGTGTGAATTTCCATATAAATACATAACCAACCAAAAGTTTCCTTTACTTTAGTAATTTTATTTTGCATTTTTATGTTTCTTGGAATATGTCTAACTTGCCAAATATTAATTATTTTATTATACTCTTACCCATCACTTTGTAATTTACAGTGTATGTTAGAACCTGAATTGCTTTATCCTGATGAAATAGACACTTTAATAATAACACTGCCGATGAGCAAAATTTACACTAAAATAATAATGATCTCAGTAAGTAGATTGTAAGTAAGTAAATAGTAAGTAATAAGTTTGTATTAGTCAGTTTGGATTAGATTACACTGCCGTAACTAACAGCCCTGCAACTGTAGTAGCTACAGTTGGAAGTGAATTTCTCACAAATGTGGCATGTCTAGGTCTGTGAGACACAGGTCCCTTCTTCAGTTGCTATGGCAGGTGGAAAAAGGTCTTAGGAAAGCAATCAAAGACGCTGACCCAGAAGTTGAGTACAGCATTTCCTCATATACCTAATTGACCAGAACCCATGACAAGGTTCCTTTAATCTACAAGATTCAAGAAAAGACATTCCACCTGATGGAGACCAAAAATATTTGATGAACATCATCAATCATGTTCATACTCACTTAGCTGATAACAAAAAAAGCAAATATACCAATGAGCCAATGAGGTGTTTAGAAAGCAATTTCTTCTTTGCTTTTTTTTTTTGATGATTTAAATTACAGTGATGAATTCCCTGATACTGTATTTCTAAAATACACACACACACATACACCCCTTCTTGATTACATATGTGTATTTTCCTATGGCTTTATTTTTATTAGAACAATCTCATTGGGGTTACATTAATGCTGGCTTGATGAAATGTTATGAAGGATGCAGCCTGTCTTCTCCATTATCTGTGATAGTGCACAACACTAAGGTTCTCTAGACTTGAAAGAGAACTCACTCACACCCCTGTAGGGTACTTGTGTCTTTTTCAATGTTCAATCCTTAATCTTTTTTTTCAATTCTTTTCTATGCTACTTTACGCACATTTTATACTTTTTATGTGAGTCATTTTTGGTATTTTATCTTTTGCTAAAAAAATCACCCGTTTTCTACAGACTTTAAGCTTTGCTGCCACAGAGTTGGTGTTTTCATGTATAGTCATTTTTCCCCAAAATAGCTTGAGATTTTCATGATGCCACTGAGCTGCATTGAGGAATACGAGCCTGTTAGAAGCAGAAGAAAGAGAGAAAGAGAAACCTTTTGCCCGGAGGCCATAAAATTTATACTCAACATGTGCCTGGCATCCAGAAAATTCTGCCAGAATAAATAAATAACCTACGCTTTTAAATAAAAAAATTGCTCTATTGTGAGCTTTTCACTGTTTACGTAAAGTTATATTATTTTTATGGTATGGATAATTTCTCTTTTATGTTACCAAATATCTATAACATTTTTCTTTCCTAGTTCTTTTTATCAGAATCATAAACAGTTTGTCTATTTTATTGATATTAACAACTCACTCTTGCTTTAAATTGTTTATAACACTTGAATTTTATTAATAGGATCCTAATTTATTTTTGTTTTTTCTAACTTTTTAATCTTATTATTAAATTTCTTTATTTTTTGATCATTTTGTTCTACGTTAGAGGACTTAAAGATAGACATTTTCCTTGAAACACAGGTTTTGCTGTCTCACATTGTTTCTCATAGAAAGTACTGTTCTAATGGTTTCCAGATGGGATAGTATAGGCATTAAGGTTTGAGTTTCTCTTTAATGTAAAATTATAGTGGACTTTTTATGGATAGACATTTGCTTGTAGTTCTATTTTTATTACATGTTTCTACTTTAATTGGAATATTACAGGGCATGAGACCTATAACTTATTTTAATTTGTTAAGGTTCACTTTGTGGTCAGTTATATAATTGATTTAAACAAAACACTTTTCAAGAAAAACAATAAATAAGAGTATTCTGTAAGGGATGTGAGCTTCTTCAAACATTTCTTAAATCAAGTTTGTTATCTGTATTACTCACTGCTTCATTGCTATTTTATTTTTTTCCCTACTAGATGCATTTACTTCTGAAAGTTGGCTTTCTATTTGTTTTCAGCAGAGGCAGTGATCGGGGTACCCGCCTGTTCCATCGGAGCGTCCCCTACCTTCTCTGAGGCTCAGCTGCACTCAGTCATTAGGTTTCTCAACGCAGGTAGACTTTTAACATCTTTTCCTATTAACTTTTTCTTTCTGCCGAGGGCTTCCTTTGTTAACAACCTATAGCTGGGTTTTGCCTTTAACCTCATCCTGTTTGTGCTGTGGTCCACACTCACCCTGCAGGTTGTAACATATCTGCAATCAGCCTATTATGGTAAAGGACATAAGGCACAGCTTGACTTGTGGCCAGGACAGAACAGAGATGAGAGTGTAGTGTTCACTTTAAACTTCTTTCTCCTGAAAATTCATGCTTCCAAGTCAGTGAAATATGCTTGGCTAGAATACGATTTGCACCTGTGACTAACTGTGCCCTATCATTAGTATCATATCTTTGAGCACCACATGTGTATATATTTACTCATTTATAAAAGATGAAAACCTACCCATTTATTAACATTTTGTACAGCATAAAACATAAAAACTGTACATTTACCATATGTGATGGAAATACATACAAATGAAATTTCAGCTATTAAGAGGGTTTTGTTGCCCTTCTATTTATCAATATTTCACCCATGGGTGGTGCTTCTTGTCCACCCACAAATTGTTTTAACAATGTATGAAAAGGGTGAACATCAGAATACCCTCCTTTACGTGTAGTATTACCAGACGATACTATAAACAGGACCTGGTTAGAAGTTTCTACTTCTCCTCTGAGGTCAGGAGTTTGAGACCAGCCTGGCCAACATGTTGAAACGTCCCCTCTACTAAAAATACAAAAATTAGCCAGGCGTGGTGGCAGGTGTCTGTAGTCCCAGTTACTCAGGAAGGCTGAGGCAGAAGAACTGCTTGAATCTGGGAGGCGGAGGTTGCAGTGAGCTGAGATTGCACCACTGCACTCCAGCCTGGGTGACAGAGCCAGACGCTATCTCAAAAAAAAAAAAAAAAAAAAAATTGCGTTTCTACTTTGAGTAATGGTGAGTAACTTCTTTGGAGGTGGGACCAGGGCAGGATGAGGTGGTGAAGGATCATGCCCCCACCATACTGTGGTTGTCATGGAGGAGTTTAATGCTCCACACCTAGACCCCAGCTCTGCTTAGAGTCCTTGATAGAGATGATGGGTCTGAGAATGTTATTCCGAGGTATTTTAGATAGGGCAGAAATTCTCAACTGTTTATGATATTTAACATATATTCCTGTTCTATTCACTTATTAAAAATAAATACATGTTGACTAAAGACAACTGAGAAAATAAAAATAAACTAAGAGGGAAAAATCACCCATAACCATAATTAACATTTTGGTGTGTAGCCTTTTTTTAGTGTTTTACAAAGTTATTATCATGAGATATGTATGTATTTATGACACATGTGCCTGCATCCTCTGTTTTTCACATGCTAAGGACACCTGAGACGCTTTGAGCTTATGATCTTTGTATTGATACCTGTTATTCTTCATGATTTATCTAATCAGTCCTCTGCTGTTTGAAGCTGAATCATTTCCAACTCTTCACTGCTATAAATAGTCTTGCAGAAAACATTCTTGAAAAAAACCTGTATAGTTGCTTATTTCTTTATGATATTGATCCAGGAATATAACTTATGACTCAAAGGACAAGAATAATTTTAAGAGTCCTACTAAGAATTTACACTACAATACCATGATTTTATATAATCAATAGTATGATTAGGAAATGCCAGTTTCTACATAACCTTTTCAATAATACGTCTCATTCACCTGTTTAAATCTATGCTAACAAGATAGACAAAAATGATATTTTACTTTTCTTCTTAAATTTGTACTTCTTTGATATACACTAGAGGTAAGTTTTTAAGTTTTTTAAAAATATTTTCTTAGCTTATTGCGCACTGACTATTCTGATATGGACTGTGAACATATACTCTAAGTAAACATTTTTAAAATGAGTAATTATTAGAGGCAACATCTTTTTCCTTAAAATATTTTCCTCTCTATATTTATTAGATAAGTAACCAGAACAGAAATATGAAGAAGAAAATTAGGTGGTATTTATGTCGGCTGTAACAAGAACAACAAAATAGTTAACCATAAGCAACACTGTTATAGGTTGAATTCTGTCCCCCCAAAAAATCATACATTGAGGTCCTAACCCTCAGCGCCTCAGATGGTGACTGTATTTGAAGATTGGGTACTTGCAGATGAATTTAGTTAGGATAAGGTGTTGCTGGAAGAAGGGGACCCCCAATCCAATATGATTGTGTCCTTTTAACAAGGAGAATTTAGACACAGGGACAGACACACACACAGGGAGAGCTCCTTTTGAGTCTGGAGGCAGAGATGAGGGTGAGGCTTCTCCAGCCATGGAATGCCAGAGATTGCCAAACACCGCCAGGAGCTGGAGGACCAGCCTGAGGCAGATCCTCCCTCAGAGTTCCAGAAGGACCCCACCCTGCCGATGACACCTGGATCTCAGACTTCCAGCCTCCAGAACTGGGAGACTGTACACTCCTGTTGGTTAAGTGACTGTGTGTGGTATTTTGTTAGGGCAGCCCTAGCAAGCTAACACAGTTTGTTGGTTTGTGTGTGTGCCTGAAGATAGATGTGTGATTTCAAAGGAGAAGAGCGGGGGGTGGCAGGGACTGCACCTTCACAGCGGGGCACGGTGGAGCTCCAGACCACGTTCCCGTCTTGCAGTATGCAGGTAATGGACTCGGATCCCTGGGTCTTGACAAAGCCATCATCACAGTGGAAAGAAACCGAGCTCCCGAGTAGAAACCTGTCACCAAAACGTCGTCCGTTTATAGGAATGCCAGGATCATGGCACTCATTCTGACCAAATGCTGAAAGAAAAAGAAGAAGAAAAAAGGAATAAAAATACTTGAGTATTAATTACATGTATTAAAAAAGAAGAAAACAGAACAAGCTTATAAAGCATTCATATAATGTATATAATTATATAAATTTCAGTTGTATCATTCATAGATAGATAATACATTAATAAATAGGATATCAGTGTCTAGTGAGAAAGAGCGAGCAGGGAGATGAACAAATATAACTATCATTTATGCAGCAATTTAGGGTTTGAAAAGCACTTTTCATAGGAGCTTAGACAAAGAGAGAACTGATATGGTGGGTGGTAGAAAGTGTCTGGGCTCAAGATTTCTCTCGTTAGAATCCTGACTTTTTTTCTTACTATGTCAGAGGACTCTGACATTGGGCATATGACTCTGACGCTCTAAGCCTAGCTATCTTTATTTACAGAATGAGAGACTACTAAATTTATATCCTCTAGTTACTATAACACTAAATGAAACAATTATTGTCCAATTCTAAGTATTCTGCCTAAGAAACTAGGCAGTTAGCATATCATAATGTAGTATTACTCATATTAATATTCTCTCACTTTATTCCATCTACAGTGCATTTAAGTAGATATTCTTACATAAAATAGGTTTTAAAATGAGGAGCCTAAAGCAAAGAGAATGAGCTGTCATTAAACTTCACTAATTACATACTAGTGCTGTATTTTAATCCTTGGCTCCTGACATCATATTACACAGTTGTTTTTACTACACTACTTTGTTGCAAGAAAGATGCATAAGTGGCTGAGTGGGTGGGTGGATGGTTGTATAGATGGGAGGAAGAATAGAAGGAAGAAAGGAAGAATGGCTGGCTGGCTGGATGAATGGAGGGATGGAAAGAAAGATGAATGGAGGGATGGATGGAAAGATGAATGGAAGGATGGATGGATGAATGCATGCATGCATGGATGGATGGACAGATGGAAGGATGGATAATGGAAGGATATGGATGAATGGATGGATGGGTGAAATAATAGATAAATGGACAAAACGATGGAAGGGAAGGATGAATGGAAGGATATGGATTGATAGATGGATGGAAGGATAAAAGGAATGATAGACGGAATAATGGATGAATGGATGGACACATGGATGAATGATGAATGGATGGATGGAAAGATGGATAAACAATGGATTGATGGAACGATGGATGGATGGAAGGATGAATGGATGGAAGGATGGATGGATAGATGGAAGGATGGATGGAAAGATGGATGGAAGAAAGGATGGATAGATGCATGGATGGATGAAATGATGGATGGATGAATGAAAGGATACAGATGGACAGATGGATGGATGAATGGAAGAATAGATGGAATAATGGTTTGGTGGGTGCATGGATGGATAGAATGATGGATGGATGAATGGATGGATGGATAAATGGAAAACCGGAGAGAAAGAGATGTAAGGAGATGAAAGAGAGAGGAGATCCAGCTTCTTAGTTTAGGAGTGATGAAGCCACCTATCTAAATACAGTGATACATTTGTTTTTAAGTTTTCAGGATAACACTATAATTTTACTACTGTCATTTTCATAATGATTATAAAACCTCTGAAGTATCAACCTTGAAATGCAACTTCACATACATATAAGCAAAATGGGAACATGTAAGTAAAATGAGAACTTGGATGTGTTGACTGTGTGGGCGTACTTACTGGTGTAAGTGATGTTGAACCCTCTGCCAGTAGTGGAATGGTCAGACTGAAATTCCAAGCGAACTATATGCCCACTGCTGGCCAGCTGGGAAGGCACTTCATTGCCAGAAAAAGTACCCAGGACAGTTATGTCAGAAATGCCATCATCCTTGACCGCGAGAAAGTCAAACTGAGGCTCAACATCAAAATCATTAAAGATTAGGTGAATTCGACTTCCTGGCTCCGAGATAATCAACCAGACACAGTTCATGTTGTTCCCATATTCCTCTGGATAATTTGGTGACAGAATAATCCCAGATGATGCCGTAAAGTTGAAGAAACATGAAACTGTGAAGATGCAAATATATTTTCAAACAGTTATGCACATATCCAAAGAATTGCCATGTGAAACAGACAGCTAAGAACCTGGAAAGGCAATTCATGCCTGCAAATAGCTATGATGATCCAACTATTTTAATATAAGTAATTCTGGACCATAATGTTTTCTCCTTTCCTAATTTGTAAGTCGAATATTTCATTATCATATAGAGCACAACCAGAACCTATACATAATCAAGCACAAGCGTGGTTCAAAAATGATCCTTTCCAGTTGACTGAAAACGTGTGCCAAATATTATAATTTCTAGTTATAATTTTCTGCCTTCAGAAGAGCAAATATTAATATGGAAAAGTATATTCCTATATCATAGGAACAATTCAGCCTGCTCTTTCATAACTTTTAAATTTATATTTTATACTTTCCTGTGAGTGCATTTTCTCCAGTAATTTAAAATTTTTATTAGTTACAGGGTAAACATGAATAAATAAATAACTTGGAAACATCAGATCATGTTCTAGTTGGATAATATAAAGTATTTTGAAAAATTTACTTTTAAGAATGTGTACTTAAAATCATATATATTATATAAATAATTTTTTGGAGGGAGAAACTGTTGGATTTATCTCTAGAATACATTTTTGCTTCTTATTCCATATAATTTTGTACACACTTTTCAGCCTTTGCTATAGTTATTTACAAATAAAAAAAACCTCTCCTTTAAAATCGACTGTGAAGCCTTTTCTACTTGTTAAAATAGTATTCTTAAGAGGAAGTGGGCAGCTCATCAACTGAATTCCAAACCAATACCACCACCCATGCTCGCACTGGTGAACAACTTGTGTTTAAGTGTTATACAGCATTATTAAGTCACAAAGGACTCTGTTGCTGTACTGATGTCTGATACAGCAGATCATCACTGGCTTTTGATGGAAACAACGATATATGTGATGACCCTTTCTGGTAGGAAACGTTCAAGTACATTTTGTCGAGTAGATGTAATGAAACTATAAATTAGTTTTTACTAAATGAAGAAAGCAGGCAAGTTGGTGTTCGAGAACGTCCTTGCACGTTTCCAGTAAATGTGGCACCCCGAGCCATTCTGAAAGCTGCCCTCCCTAAATGGGCGGTCTGTGTCTTTCTCCTTTTCTCCCCTTGCAAGATCCTTGCAGGACAGGAGGGAGTCCAGGTCAAGGCATAATACTCACATACACAGCTGGGCTTGTTGCCAGACCACTGATTGTTCTGCTGACAGGTGATAACTCTCTCCCCCACCAGCTCAAAGGCCGCCGGGCATTCAAAGGTGAGTGTATCTCCATGGAGGAAACTGCTGCCCGTCCGCTTCCCATAGGCGGGGATTCCAGGATCCCCACACCCTCCCTTTTCAATTTCTGAAAATGGAAAAACAAATGAACCCTTAAAAAAACACACACAAGGAATATTTTTATCTCTACAACTTAGAAAGTAAATACGTGGCTTCTTTTTGCTGAACTAAACATCATTTTTGTAAAGTGTTTCTAAAGGATATTCAATTGATCTTAAATTTAATTTCAAATACCAGAAAAAGAATGTCATTTCAAATGAAGGGAAAGGTATTTAATTTGCTATCTTTTAAGGGATACACGTGGCTACACAGATACGCTGACAACACAAATGCTGCAATTAATCGGTGCATCTTCTGGATACCTCCGATCTTTTATCTGCAATTGCTACTACTAAAATGCAAATACCAGTTTAATTTTCAACTATGTGCTTTTTGCTATAAACAATACAAATAATATTCTTCATTCCCTACTGAGTATTTAAATAAATAGAATCTATTTGAATATTCTTTCCCTAAAATGAATGTTAACACTCACTTATGAAGCAGAATGAATAACAGTTTGGTCTACAGAGGAAAACAAAATATTCAGAATCAATCTTTCATTAAAACATCACTGTAATAACATATGCGTCCAAATACACCAAACCTATATTTCAAATGTTGATCTGTCTCAAATGTTAACTACACAGAATGTTTTCATTAAAATATTTTATTTATTTATTCATTTAAAAGACTATTTTTGAGAGCCACTGTGTGTCAGGTCCTGTTCTAGGTAAGGGCTTAGTGAATAAATGAGACAAAATCCTCGCACACATGGGGCTGGATATGATTTGGCTGTGTCCCCACCTAATTCTCATTTTGAATCCCACGTGTTGTGGCAGGGATCTGGTGGGAGGTAATTGATCATGGGGGCAGGTCTTTCCTGTGCTGTTCTCAGGATAGTGAATAAGGCTCAGGAGGTCTGATGGTTTTCTAAGGGGGAGTTGCCCTGCACAAGCTTTCTCTTTGCCTGCTGCCATCATGTAAGACGTGACTTGTTCCACCTTGCCTTCGCCATGATTGTGAGGCCTCTCCAGCCATGTGGAACTGTAAGTCCATTAAACCTTTTTCTTTTATAAATTGCCCAGTCTTGGGTATGTCTTTATCAGCAGTGTAAAAACAGACTAATACAGGGGTTATGTTTTATGGAGGAAAATTTTTTAAAATTATTATTTTTTTGAGACAGGATCTCACTCTGTTGTCCAGGCCGGAGTGCAGTGATGTGATCATAGCTCACTGCAACTTCCAACTCTGGGGCTCGAGTGATCCTCCCACCTGAGACTCCCAAAAATTAATGTGATTTGATGATGGGTAATTTAACACAAGATAGAGGGGTATAGAGAGATGGATGGAGGAGGAGGCAGTGAAGAAAATGCCCTGAAGGAAGATGGCAATCAGCCCTTCGAAAAGGAGATGTGATCCCAGTGTGCCGGGCAGGGCAGTGAGGGACAAATGGGCAGAGGTGGTTTGGAGCAGAAGGGAGGCCCTGCCTGTTGGGCTTCCTGTTTGTGCAGAGTGATGCAGGAAGAAGGCACTGCAGAGCTTTGGAGGAGACCTGGTGTCATCTGACTACAGACTTAAAAGATCTCTCTGCAACTTTGGAAGAGCAGAGGCAGGTGAAAAGTGAGTCCCAGGAAATTCAGGGTGGTTTCTCTGGACACCAGTCCCAAAAGTGCATTGGTTTTACTTTTAGAATTCTTCATGGGCTTGCACTTTATTATCTTGCAGGGGCCAAGAGCAAATTCTTTGTGGGGTATTTTTTAGTAACCTAACTACTTCCTTTCCTTTTCTTTATTTCCATAGGTTTTGGGGGGAACCCAAGCAGTATATGCTGCGTTCATTTTGTAGTCTTCTATTCCTCATCCCCTTCACACCCTTTCCCCGAGTCCCCAAGGTCCATTTTATCATTCTTATGCCTTTGCATCCTCATAGCTTAGCTCCCACTTATGAGTGAGAACATATGATGTTTGGCTTTGCATTCCTGGGTTACTTCACTTAGAATAATAGTCTCCAATCTCATCCAGGTTGCTGCGAATGCCATTAATTCATTCCTTATTATCGTTCAGTAGTAGTCCATCATATATATATATACGTGTATATATACGTGTATATATACACACGTATATATACACGTATATATACACGTACATATATACACGT
The DNA here is from genome assembly GCF_000001405.40 of Homo sapiens. Taxonomy (NCBI): domain Eukaryota; kingdom Metazoa; phylum Chordata; class Mammalia; order Primates; family Hominidae; genus Homo; species Homo sapiens. The sequence continues at coordinate 3,411,738 of NC_000008.11, forward strand.
GTATATATACACGTGTATATACGTGTATATACGTGTGTATATACCTGTATATATACACGTATATATACACGTATATATACGTGTATATGTATATATGCACGTATATATGCACGTATATATGCACGTATATATGCACGTATATATACACGTATATATGCACGTATATATACACGTATATATGCACGTATATATACACGTATATATGCACGTATATATACACGTATATATGCACGTATATATACACGTATATATACGTGTATATACACGTATATATATACATATACACACGTATATATACACATATATACACGTATATATACACACGTATATATACATATATACATATATATACACACGTATATATACATATATACATATATACACACGTATATATACATATATACATATATATACACACGTATATATACATATATACATATATATACACACATATACATACATACACACACACACACCACTGTTTCTTTATCCACTCATTGATTGATGGGCATTTGGGTTGGTTCCACATTTTTGCAATTGCAAATTGTGCTGCTATAAATATGTGTGTGCAAGTATCTTTTTCATAACCTAACCACTTTCTAATCAAGCTGTCAGTTTTGGCAATGTTTGTAGAAGTGACTCAGAACTGAATTTCCAGATGGTTTGAAGGTCTGCTGTGAGGGATATAGAAACGTTCAGAGGTTGATCCAGAGATGTTATATTGCATTCAAGAGGAGAAACTTTACTTCTAAGTGTCTGGGAATATCAAAGAAGTGAAGTTTGATACATTATCACACTAGCATGAAGATGTTGAATACATAGGATATCACCAACTTCTGTGAAGCAGAAGAGCACACACACAAAATGCAGATATTTGGTTGAGGTTCAAGGTACACTGCTAACGTCACACCTCAGGCTACCAAACAAAGATGATCCTTACAGAGTCAGCTCTACGAAAGCAAAATGTTCCTAATGCAACACAAGCCAAATACATCTATAGAGAACACCTTTGCTTAAAGATAGTTCTTGGAGTTTAGGTTGTTGAACAGAGATGGGAATGGATTTACTTAAATTTAATGCTTGGGATGCCTTGAATGAGCGTCTGTCACTGAAACCGACAGTGAGTTCAAAACGCTGCATGGTTTATAATAGAAAAGAGCTCTTGTTTGTTGTGGGCTCTCCATTGGGAAGCTGGGCTGGGCGCCCAGGGTCCTGGCATAGCACAAATCTGTGCAGTCAGGAGTCCAGACACCACATTTGGTTTTGAATCCCCCAGTGTTTGCTGGGCCACTGTGATCAATTTAGTCTCATCAAGCCTCAGTTTTCACATTATGAGCTTCCTACTTCCTACCTCAAAGGGTGGCCATGAGAATTAAAGAATAAGATTCATGGAAATTACCTGGTATATTGCACTGGAAATACAATTATTACTATGATTATTAGCAAGCCTTAAATGTTTCATTCTGCCTCTGTGATACTAAAGTTTACAATTTCTCCTTAGAGTAAAATAAATTATGGCATTTTGGGGATACTATTTTTAATATTAATTAACTCAGGGAGCTCTACTGTGCAGAGGTTTCAGAAATTAAATGAGGGTGAGGGTCTTTCTGCTTTCCATGCTGAGGATCAAGAGAGACCTGTGGTTAGCTGATCCCACCAAAGAGGCTGATGTTTGTTTATCCTGATGCATGGCTACGGCTGGCCGTGGACAGAACCTGTGTTGGACAAGTCCCTTATCAGGCATTAGGGGTTGACAAGTAACTGTCAAAGTAGCACGGTCCAAACTCAGTAGGTTTGTGTGTTTCACCTAGCTTTTGTCCTTTAGTTATAGAAGAAATGTAAGCATGTTTCATGATTATGCCAGCGATGTTTCATTTGGGGGAACTATCTTGGAATATTTTGCATTCTTGACTTCTTACACACTGAGTGTCACTACTGCCTCCAAATTATGGTGACAAAATTCACACAAGTTTTGCAATTTTATTTGAGGTTCATATCACCTTCAGGTAGAGTAGAAGATGAGTAAGATACTGTTGACAATGATACAGTATGTGTGTCAAACCCCCTTCTCTCTATGTCAGAGACGATTTTAACACATTTTCTTAGAAACAAACACTACAGCCAGATGCGGTAGCTCACGCCTGTAATCCTAGCACTTTGGAAGGCCGAGGTGGGATGATCACTTGAGATCATGAGTTGGAGACCAGCCTGGCCAACATCATGAAACCCTATCTCTACTAAAAATACAAAAATTAGCCGGGAATGGTGGTGCACGCCTGGAATCCCAACTACTGGGGAGGCTGAAGCAGGAGAATTACTTGAAACCAGGAGGTGGACGTTGCAGTGAGCCAAGATCGCGACACTGCAGTCCAGCCTGTGTGACAGAGCGAGACTCCGTTAAAGAAAAGAAAAAAAAAAAAAAAAGAAGCAAACACTATGATTTGGTATCAATTCAAAGACTGATGCACCTAAAGCAAAAAAAAAAAAAAAAAAAAAAAAAAATGCTGTACAAACTATCTCTTCCAAATTATTGAACTAGATATAAGATTTGATAATGAAGGGGCCTACGGAAAATATTGTTTAAGGATCATTCCGAAGAGCTTACATAGTCCAGTTACAAATACTGTCACACCTCCCTCTCTTCCCCAAAATACATCACACAGAAATTTTCTCTGTTGCTCTAGCTATATTCCCAAACATGCCATGTTGTGCCTCAGTTCAGGTTCTCACCCCTCACTGTCTATCATCATTTGCCATCATTGACGCTCTTGGGGTCCTCTCATCGCTCCCCATGCTGCATCCCATTTTCTGTGTTGCAGCCAAACTATTTTCTCAAACTCCAGTGCTAAGGATAACCGTACCTTGCTTGAAATTTTTCTGGTGACCAACTTTGTTCTTAGTCCAGATCCTATCCAGGACTCAGGAACCATGTGTGATGTGAACATCGCTGTTTTCTCCTAGGACATATCTCGTTAGTTCTTTCCCGGTGTTTCACAATCCAGACTTGCTACAATTTCTTTTAGTGCCTGAGGGTGTCTCCCCTCTTCAGCCTTCACACCTGCTGTAAATATTTAGTCCATTCTTTCCTCTGTTGTCTTATTTAACCATGCACTGTTGATATTCTAATTCAGTCTGCGCTTGCTCGGGGATGGCCTGTATCCTACGTGTCTCTAGCACCACTCTCTTTTCTGCGGCAAGACCTGTCACTCTGCATTATATGTACTTTTTGTGCTTTACTGTAAGCCCTGGCAGGGTCTATCTTGGTGATTGTTAAATCTGTAGCACCTGTTCAGAGTCAACACACAACAGATGCTTTTCTAAATTATTGTTCTTATTAAACTTGCAATTTAATGATTTTTATTCGCACTCACATTTACATACTAAATTGTATTTTAATTGACAAATTTAAATTGTATATATTGTTCATCTACAGCATGTTATTTTGAAATATGTGTACGTATCATAATGGCTAAGCAAAGCTAATTAATATACTAATTACCTTACATACTTCTGATTTTTTTCTTGAGAACACCTATACTCTTAGCAATTTTCAAGAATATAATACATTATTATTAACCATAGTACCATGTTGTATAAGAGATCCCTTGAACTTATTTACATGTTGCATTTATTTATTTGAAATGGAGCCTCGCTCTGTCACCCAGGCTGGAGTGCAGTGGCACGATCTCAGCTCACTGTAACCTCTACCTCCCGGATTCAAGAGATTCTCTTGGCTCAGCCTCCTGCATATCTGGGATTATACGCATGCATCATCACGCCCAGGTAATTTTTGTATTTTTTAGCAGCGATGGAGTTTCACCATGTTGGCCACGCTGGTCTCCAACTCCTGGCCTCAAGTGATCTGCCCTCCTCTAGCCTCCCAACAGGCTGCGATTACAGGCGTGAGCCATTGTGCCTGGCCTTGTATGTCACATTTATAGGTGTGTGTGTATTATATGTTGTATTTATATGAAGATTTTATATATTCTGGAGAATCTGATGAAGCTCAGTCCCTTTTTATTCTTTATTTCAGACTGAGATCTGGAAAAATGGAAAAGTATACAAGTAATAAATGGAAGACAAAACTTCTTTATTGGTAAAATGGATCTATGTTGTTTAGAAACATATCCCCAAGTTTTCATGAGAATAAGTGAGATTTTTTAAATTGCCAAAGAAGATTTTGAGTTGCATATGATATTTAATTTTTGGCACTTACAATGAGTAGCCACTAGCTACAGTGACTTTTCACACTTGTCAATTCTTTTTAAAAATAAGTGTTCTTGGCTGGGCGCGGCGGCTCACACCTGTAATCCTAGCACTTTGGGAGGCGGAGACAGGTGGATCATGAGGTCAGGAGATCGAGACCATCCTGGATAACATGGTGAAACCCCGTCTCTACTAAAAATACAAAAAATTAGCCGGGCGTGTTGGGGGGCGCCTGTAATTCCCAGCTACTCGGGAGGCTGAGGCAGGAGAATGGTGTGAACCTAGTAGGCTGGAGCTTGCAGTGAACCGGGACTGCGCAACTGCACTCCAGCCTGAGCCACAGAGCCAGACTCCGTCTCAAAAAAAAAAAAAAAAAAAAAAAAGTGTTCTTTAGATATAGTTTAGAAAACTGGCCCTTTAACAAAACAAATAACAGAGGACCAAACACTACAAGAGAAATAGAGAAAAAGAACTCTGAAGGTAGAAATAAATGAATGTGGACTATGATGGATTTTTAAACATCCAATTTCCACATAAGAATGTATTCGGTGTATACTTGAATTTCAAAAAGAGCTAAGAAGGCAGAAAGGAATGAGACATAACTGTGCCGTCAGAAGCATAGTTAGCACGCTTGCTTGTTTCCTTTTGTGTAGTCAACCATGGGTGTCCCAGGAGCTACATGGAAACACGTCCAGGGAGTTGCCTGGTCCTTTAGATTCTGCTGTGGCCACATCCCCTGCTAACACCATTTCTCATGTTGATGGCATGTCAGGCAAGGCAGCACTGTACATGGACACAAGACAGCTAGTACAGAACTCACTGAGCCTACACTGCTGTGTGTTCTTTGTTCTCTGTGACCTGTCTCCACAAGTAGATGAGAACTCCATGAATGACAGCTTTATCAGGTTCTTTCTCTTCCCTTCCAAAACCACTTATGAAAGTTCTTTGTATAAAACCGCTCAATGAATAAAACTAAATTCTAAAATTAGGTTCACCCATAGTCATGTATATGAACAGCAATTTCTCTAAATCTCAATAGATGACTATTGGATTATATAAGCTGATATCCCTGAATTTTAGTGAGAATGATTTACCAAGAGTTTAAATCACACCACGTTCTGCTCCCACGGTTGTGCTTGCATTACCAAATTTATTCTGGATGGGGTAATACAATTTCTGTTTGACATATGAAATATAGCAGGTTGCTGCAGTCTTTGTTACCATGAAGAGTTGAGATTCTTCAAGTTATCACAAAATAGATGTACTATGATGATGTTCCATAAATAAGAGGGACCTTTAAATTCCATACGGTTTGCTACTGGATTGCAATTAATATTCTGCAGAAAACACTCTGCTGTAGCTGTTCAGGAAATATTTCTTAAAAATAGTGGAAAACATTTAGATTTCAGACAGCTAACTTTTTATCTCCCAAAATAGCAGACCAAAACTCTTATTGCCTGTGTAAGATATTTACACAACTTCTTATATGCTTATTCGTATGAAAGCAATGTTGTCTAGCTTGTATGTCTGCCTTTTTTCTCATGTGCTATTTGACTACCATCTGTATTCTGAACTTAAGGCTTAAAAACTTTAATCACAAACTAGAATAGATAAGGTGTGTTCCAGGGCTGCCATAGCTACTACATGCGGGAAGTGTTAATGAACAGATTAAAATGGCCCAGAAATCAGTACATGCTTCCATTTTCGCTGAAGAGAGAGTGAGTAAAAGCAACAGTTTCTTGTGCAACTGACCACACTGTGCCTGCTCTTAGATTCTCATTTTTTTTCCCTGAGACTTTCACTCAGAAATCCCTAAACTAATTGATATATTTTCATCACCTTCGGAAAACAAGATTGCAGCACATAAATGGAAGTCTACAGACCCTGTTTTTTGGAGACAGTGTGAGAACATGTCCACGCGGTATGGACGTGGCACATGCTCCCGGCATTACTGAAAACCATATGACACAGCACAACCCAGCACTTGGACAGACATGGAGCCTCCCATGACTCTCTCCTTGTCCGTCACCATCAGTGACATAAGCCCAGAAAGTAGCGGATTGCTGTTACAGTGGCCTGTGCTTGTTAAAATGATGTGTGATCGTGCTTAATTATGGTGCTCAGGGAAAATTCGGTTGTGTACATGAAATACCATGTTTGCTTTTCATACAAATGTGCTTTGTTTGACTGAAACAAGAATGAGATGATTCCAAAGGTGTAGTCAAAAGCTAAGATGGAGCGGGAACTACACCTGCTGTGTTTTTCCTTCCCTTTTGTGGCCCCAGTGTGAAATGCTGGACTCTGGAAATTCGGGCTATAAGTAACCACAGAAATGAACTGTCTCAGCAGCTCATCTCGCTTGTCTCATGGAGACCATGAGAGTATAGATTTTCAAACTTGTTTATAGCACTGTCCAAATTATTTATTAGTGCTGTTGGAATTCAGAACTTTGTTGGTGATCCTGCCCAGAAAACTAAGAGACTGGATGTCAGAGAGCACTTACTGGGAAAGCAACAATTTTATTCAAGATATTGGTCAGCTATAATCATGGAGTCATATTTACTTGGCCAAATTCCCTGACGGTCCCGCTGATCTAGTAACCCGATTTGGGTATATAAAAGCATTGATTTTGAGCTGAAGATTCAGATCCAACAATGTCCTGTGTCTCAGCTCAACAGGTCTGTCTGCCATAACCTGCAACGTAATGAGAAGCAGGTTTTCCAGTGATCCCACTGCCCTGCACCAGAGCAAGAGAAATCTACATTAACATCACAGGACATCTCCATTGAATTTCCAAATTGGTGATCATGCAGACACACGGGATTGCACAAACTAATGTCAGACCATAGTAGGAAATGAGAAGGAAGAATGAGTCATTTTAAAGGATAGAATTTTTCCTTTTTAATATTATAGATTTCTTTTAAAGACATAGAAAACGAATACAACAGCCAAGGTAGTAATGAGAAGCACCTCAGAATACATGAAAGGTATGCATAATGCAATTTTACTTTCCAGAATTAATTAGTAGAAATTTAGTCCTGAAAAATCATCTTGCTATAGTGTTCCTTTCACTTACATTATACTCGAGGCATACAAATAGTTAATGCTCTGCTGTGTCTGTTGCCATTGTTTAAGGCTGAAACGCCAGCTAGGAACCTCATGGAGGTCGAGGCTTCTCAATGACGCAAGCTGCGCTGTTCTCTAATTCTTAACTCAGCAGGAACTGAACTTTTTGCCTTATCAAGTAACACATTTCTGAGCACCTAAGTGGTCATCCTCACAGAAGGATACTATCAGGCTTACAATCTGCACCAACCAGATGCTCCTGGTTGATTCTTGAGTTCAGGTTCACTGTAAACTTCAAAAATAAAACTAACTCCACTGCCGTTTCCAAAATGAATAATTGAAAATGAAGGATGAAGGTGCTGATCACCAGATGAAGCCAGATGAACAAAATAGGAATAAAAATTTACTATTCTAGAATTTCTGTTTTTCAAGTAATAAAAATACACACATATTTGTATTTTTAAATAAGCATATACACTGATTTTTAATAAAAACTCTATGTATTTGTGTTTGCCTGTCAGGAGGAGGATATTCAAGTAACCCTCAGCTAACTAGGAAATTCTGAAACCTGGAAAATCCCACGTCTGGCCAATTGCTATAGATTCGTAACCCCTTTTATCAACAGGATTGAGAAGCAAATAAATAGGAAAAAAAAAGTGGAGAAATAATTCAGATTACTTTCGTCACCTACAACGTTCTAATCAAATACCAAATAGCCAACATGTCAAGAAAAAAATCTGCATATCTAGATTCATTAAAAGAAATAATCTTCATCAATACAGTTTTGCATAAATTAATTGCTTTATTTTCCTGCTACTTCTAGACCACAGTCTGGAAGCAGGATAGCAAAGTGAGTAGAAATATAGACTCTTGGAATAGATCCTGTTTTAGATGGAATCTCAGCAACATCAATTATCTGTGTGACTTCCTGTGAGTTGCTAGAAGTACCTGTTTACCTAATTGTGGATAATAATCGTTCGCATCTCCTTAAAGATCCAATGCATGAGAAGCCAATGCACAGTGCCTAAATAGAGCCCAGGGTATATTAAGTTCTATCTCTTTGCTATTATTATTAACATCATCATTGATATTACTTTTAATTTCAATAGTTGGGAAGTCATTCAACTTAAGAAAAGCCAAGCTAAGTCCTCAAAATTATTTGATAAAAGTCCTTAAAAGATACAACTACTTTATGATATTCCTGGAAAACGTATAACCCCAGTCTAACCACAAGAAAAGCATCAGATAAATACAACCTGAGGAATAGTCTACACAATACCAACCAGGACTCCTCAAAATACCCAAGATCATCAAACCAAGGAAAGGCAGTAACAATTCAGAGGGACCAGATGAGGCAAGACAATTAACTCAGGGTGGATCTGGGTGGTTCCTGGGACAGGAAGAGGACACTAGGAAAAAAAAAAAAAAGCCATGGAAATCTGAATAAAATACGACCTTCAGTTAATAACGTTTCCATGTTGTGATGCATGTACCTAACGATATAAAGTATTAAATATAGGGAAACTGGCTGTGGGGTGGACAGAAATGCTCTGTACTATCTTTGCAACTTTTCTTTAAACCTAAAACTACTTTAAAATCAAAAATGTTAATTTGAAAAAAGAAATCAGTGTTGTTTTTAAATGTGTACTACTGTTCTGGTTAAAAATTAGTCAAATTCTAAACTTTTGGGTCTTAATACCTTTGTCACGCTTGCAATGATTCCTTTTAGGCATAGGTTATGGAATACTAAGACTTTGAACATTCTATTACTTTCACCATTCTGCGCATGGATTGAAAACATTCCTTAAACACATAAAGATGGTACTTGTTCACGCTCCAATATATTAAAAATAATAAGTAAAATGCTTCCCATGATTGAGAAAAATCACTCTTTCCTGTTTCTCTTGGTCCAGTTATCTAATAATCAGAATTTATTATATATTAAAGAGACTAATACTGCCTATTTATAGTTTTCCTCTGTGCTGTAGATTATTAAAAAAAAGACACTAAAAGCTGTGTAAAGTTTTACTGTGGTGGTGGTCATTTTATTACAATAACTGAAGACGAAGCTTCATTTGCTGATTCTATGCTCATTTTCAGTATGAAAAAATGAAAATTACATCTTTAACATTCTATTAAATTGATGGGCAATTTCTTTTCTTAAACTCATACTACAAGACAGTTGAAACCAAGTCTGGAGGAAAATGCAGAGTCATTAAAGTATAAAAGGTGGTGGTCTTCAGAGACTGGATCCAGGGATTGGCCCTGAGTAGGTCCTCCACAAGGAAACAGTTGGATATAGGACGAGAAGGACTGCTCTGAGCCCACATTCCTGAGGGAGCCACACATTGAATGGGCAGAGATAAAGGAATGACCAAATGCAAATGAGAGTTACTATATACAATCCCAGGTTGTGATTAAGAAAAGAGAAACATCATTCTCTACCTTATCAAAGACTTCATTTTATTTACACAAAACAAAGAATAGAGGAGTTCTCACTATGAAAATAACAATTTTGTAGACTTTAGTAACATCAGCCAATTCAAGATAATATTTAGCCTGTTTGATTATGTGTTAAACCCCAAGATAAAAAAAATCCCCAGATTTCTAAATTATAAATTCTACAGATGTCTTTTTCTTTTTTTTGAGACAGTGTCTTGCTCTGTTGCCCAGACTGCAGTGCACTGCTGTAATCTTGGCTCGCTACAACCTCCACCTCCCAGGTTCAAGCAATTGTCCTGTCTCAGCCTCCAGAGTAGCTGGGACTGCAGGTGCATGACACCATGCCCAGGTAATTCTTGTATTTTTCGTACAGACAGGGTTTCACCATATTGGTCAATCTGGTTTCTAACTTCTAACTTCAGGCGATCCACCCACCTTGGCCGCCCAAAGTGCTGGGATTACAGGCGTGAGCCACGGCGCCCGGCCCCACAGATGGCTTAGAGTATTAGCCACCACAACCGGCCCCACAGATGGCTTAGAGCGTGAGCCACCGCGCCCGGCCCCACAGATGTCTTAGAGCGTGAGCCACCATGTCCAGCCCTGATGTCCTAGCGTGGATTCTATCATCTACACCTATCTACCCTTCCCATGACTAGATGATCAATGAAATCTCCAAGGTCACTCTACTCTGCACCAGTGTTTCATTCCTTTGAAACTTAGTTTCACTTATTTTCAGTCTTGTTGCCTCTCACCATGAAGGGGCTGCTGTTTCCTCAAGGGCTGGACTCACACTTAGCCACTCAGCATTCTTGATGGCATACAATTCTGGGTACCTGATCAATGCTCAGCCAATAATTTGGGGTTTGTTGAGGGAGTTGGAAAAAATGAGCCAGAAGTTAAACCTGAAAGAGGAACCAAGAATCTTGGATTTGGGGCCACTTTCCACATTGTTCTTCCACTCACTTTTCCCAAAATGCCTATTGAAAGAATCTTTCAAAAATATCATGTGCATTTCAGTAATTCTTATAATTGAGTCTGTCTGAAAGCATTTTAAAAGGTATACTACTGAAGAAATCTATTGTAAGACACAAACAGAAGACAGAAGACAAAACAGTAAATTTTGAAAAAGAGCATGTTACAATAGGGCTAGACCATGATCTGTCTTTTGGGAATCAAGTGGGAAATAAATTAAATATTTCAAATCTATTTTCGATGCATTTTTCTGATGCCAGTGATTTTATGTATTTTTCATCGTCTTAGTCCCCTTGTGCTGCGATAACAGAAAAACATAGACTGGGTAATGTATGAAGAGCAGAAATGTATTTCTCATGGTTCAAGAGGCTAGGAAGATCAAGATAAAGGCACTGGGAAGGTTGGTGTCTGATGACAACTGCTCTCTGCTTCGAAAACAGTGCCATGAATTCTGTGTCCTCCAGAGGGAGGAACACTGTCCTCACATGGCAGAAGGAAAAGGGCAAAAGGGGTAGATTCTCTTTGTTAAGCTCTTTATTAAGGGTCACAGCTCTTACTGCTACCAAATTGGCAACACCTGAATTTTACAGGAGACACCTTCAAACACCAGCACCAGCTAGTCGAGTTGTACAGTCCTATGTATTTAAAAAATAATTAAACAGATTAAATTATTTTGGGGTCACTTATTATTACTCATCATAGTTCAATGATATTTTTAAATAATCAGTTTAATTAAGGAATGAATTAGGTACCACAAATTTTACCACGTCTAAATGAACAATTTAAGGAGTCTTAATTTAATTTGACGAATTTGACTAAAGGTTATAGTCATGTATCCAACACCAAAATCATGGTATGGAGGCTTCTCATTCCTCCACAATTTCCTCCATATCCATTTTCAGTCCATTTTTTCTCCCTTTCCCTTGCTCCTGGCAACCAGTGATCTGATTTCTGTCACCATAGCTTTCTCTCTTCCAGAATTTCATATAAATGGAATCATAGGGTACACACATTTTTGTCTCTGGTTTCTTTCACTGAGTGTAATGATTCTGAGATTCATCCATTTGGTTCCCTGTATCAGTAGTTATGAACTTTTTGTTGCTCAATGGTCCTCCACTGTGTGGCTTTGGCACCATTTGTCTATCTTATCACCAGCTGACTCAATGGTCCTCCACTCTGTGGCTTTGGCACCATTTGTCTATCTTGTCACCAGCTGATGGGCATTTGGGTTGTTTCCAGTTTGGGGCTATTATGAAGAAAGTCTTACGAATGTTCCATCCCAGGTCTTTGTGTGGAAATGTGTTTTTATTTCACTCGGGTGAACACTTAGGGGTGGAATTGTTGGATCACAGAATAGGCACATACTTTTTGGTGAATGGGTACTCCCTCAGCGACCTTGTCTCTCCTCACAACTGGGATGGTGGAAGTCACCTCCACCAGTCCTACGGCACGAGCTGCTTGTGTTTAGACAAATTAATGGCGACCCTCAAATAAACACACACCTCAATTATTTAACTATTTTTGGCTACTTACAAAATCAGAAAAGATTCACAGTACCAGTTTTCTTTGTTGGTGAAAAAGTGGTCTCTCCAAGCTCTTCCGTACCATTTTAAAAAAATTTACCTCCTTTTAAAAATTATTTGTTTTATGTTCAATGCACCCATTATTCAATTATAAGTATGAACACAAATTTATCAGTATAGGAAGCTCATTTGTATCTAAGAGCATAATGAAATATATCATGATTCAATTAGAGTTTATGATATTTGTTTAGTACAGGAAGCTCATTTGTATCTAAGAGCATAATGAAATACACCATGATTCAATTAGAGTTTATCATATTTCTTTGCAAAAGCCAGGTATTGCCTAGTTTAGTCTATTAATTTTGAGTACAATCTGACTTAATAATCTCTGATTAGCAAACTTGGGAAGCTATTGAATAGTTCGCACATTGCCCAGTTACTGCATTCATTGAGAGTGTACCAAGCAAAACATACCACAAGGTAGCACGTCTAGTCTGTGTATTTATTCACTGTTTGTATGCGAATATGTGTAACTTAATGATTGTCCCTTAGGTCATATAGAGAAAAAAAGTTAAAAAATTACTTGGCTATTGTTCTTGTAGTTTTTGTAATTACACTTAGTAAAACAATATGACTTCAAAAATGTAACCCTAGTATCACAATTTGAACACAAAATCTTTCTTATTCATTCAAATAAAGAAAAAAATGTGTGTTTCTGTGATTACACAATGATCTTACTTCCTTTGCCATTTCTATCAGGAAGGAATTGTCCTTCTTGATTATCAGGTCAACTGTCAAGGAACCACAGTGTTTGTGTTCAAGGAACCCTTATTTGACTTAACAATTGCCCAAGAGTAATGAAATTGGCATATTGTTATCATCATTCTATTTTTTTAAATATTATTTTATTTGAGACAGGGTCTTACTCTGTTTTCCAGGCTGGGAGCCATCATGGCTGACTCACTATGATCTCAGGCTCCTGGGCTCAAGTGATCTTTCGACCTCAGCCCCTGGAGTGGCTGGGACAACAGGTACATGCCACCACACCCAGATAATGATTTTATTTTACTTTTGTAGAGACAGGGGTCTCACTATGTTGACCAGCCTGGTTCCAAGTCCCTGGGCTCAAGCAATCCTCCTGTCCCAGCATCCCAAAGCGCCACCATGCTTGTCCTATTTTATCATTAGTCATTGTTGTGAATCTCTTACTGTGTCTAGCCTGTCAATTAAACTTTATCAGGAGTATGTACGCATAGAGAAAGCATAATACATATGGCTTGGTTTCAGGCATCCACTGGGGGACTTAGAGCTTATCTCCTTGGGACAAGGGAAACTCCTGTATGTTGAAAATGCCCTGTCCCAGCTGGGCAAGGTGGCTCACGCCTGTAATCCCAGCACTTTGGGAGGCTGAGGTGCGTGGATCACGAGGTCAAGAGATCCAGACCATCGTGGCCAACATGGTGAAACCCTGTCTCTACTAAAAATACAAAAATTAGCTGGGCGTGGTGGCACCTGCCTGTAATCTCAGCTACTTGGGAGGCTGAGGCAGGAGAACCGCTTGAACCCAGGAGGTGGAGGTTGCAGTGATCTGAGATTGCGCCACTGCACTCTGGCCTGGGAGAGAGAGCAAGATTCGGTCTCAAAAAAAAAAAAAAAAAGAAGAAAGAAAAAAGGAAAAAAAAGGAAATGCCCTGTCCCAGCAGCAGGGAGCCCAGAGAGTTTTCATTACTCTTCTGTTGTTGTTAGTGCATTCTGCCCTGAAGAAAAACATCAAAGAAAATCTGGCTAGGTTCGGATACCCTTTTTCTCTCTTTTTATTCAATAGACAGCAAATTTAACCAAGGTAAATTTCAGCACCTTGATTCACGTATATTGACATTGAGGTGAAGAACTATGACCTGTTAGAATAAAACTGATCAAAGATGACCACAAAAGATTTTAGTGTCTACCATCTCTAAAAGGTGAGTAATGGAATCTGCATTGTATTTCCCACTAGAATAAAAGGGGTTTTATCTCAAGTAAAATGTGTCTCTGTGAACAAAAAAGCTGGGTCTATGTAGAATCAGAAAGAATTATTTAAAAAAAATCTGTGCCAATCTGAAAATATTCTTGATAATCTGTGAAAATGTAAAAAAGCAGAACAGACTATTGCATGAATTATACTTGGTAACGTTTTCCAAATTTGTATTGTCCTATCCCTAATACTTTCCTTTCAATAACAGTAGATACAAAAGCAGAGCATGTGAGGAGCTGTATTAGAATCAGGATTTCATTCTCAGTAATATACACACTACTCCTAAACGTTCCATCCTGCACATCACATGAGTTAAATTATTTCTTGATCATCAATTTTTTTAAGTACCAGAGGTTATTTTGTTCCGTAGGTTACGTATCAGACAGTGATCATGAGACTCATAGATACTTGGAACTCCCCTTTTGGATCTAATTTAGCTCGACTTCTCTAACTTTGCTTTTTTATTAAAAAATAGGAACATCACTTTTCAAATCAATTAATGGAAAAGGAAGCTGGAGACTGTCCACCTGCTCTTTCCCTCAATTGCCTCCTCTCCTCCTTCAATGTCATCTTAAGTGACTTCTCCTTATTAAACACCAGGACAGATGAAGATACAAGGCAATATAATTTTTTATTTATGTTTTTATTTCTTGACACTGCCACTTTCAAGGTGAGATGCCATAATTAACTTTTTAAAAACTTGTCAACTTACTTTATTTTTCTTACATTACAAACCACTAAGTCAAATTATTGTGCTAAACTTTATAGTTTACTAAAATGTAGGCCTGACATAAACTAATTGGTGCTAAGTTATATTTAATGGGTTGTGCCCAGTTAGTTTCCTCATGTTCCAAATCACTGGATGTATTAGTCCATATTTGTACTACTATAAGGAACTGCTCAAGACTGGGTAGTTTATAAAGGAAAGAGGTTTAATTGACTCACAGTTCAGCTGGGGAGGCCTCAGGAAACTTACAATCGTGGTGGAAGGTAAAGGGGAAGCAAAGTGCCTTCTTCACAAGGCGGCATGAAGGAGAGGAATGCAGGGGGAATTACCAAACACTTATAAAACCAACACATCTCATGAGAACTCACTCACTATCACGACAGCAGCATAGTGGAAACCATCCCCATGATTCGATCACTCTACTTGGCCTCTCCTTTGACACAAGAAGATTATGGGGATCATAGGGACTAAAAATCAAGATGAGATTTTGGGTGCAGACTCAGCCAAACTATATCACTGAATAAGCATAACAAGAACTGGTCAGATTTTATTTTGCTTTGAGATTTTCAAGGCCAGCCTACTTCATCGCAAACCACAAAATGACACAAATAAAATCAGAAGTGCAAACTGAAGTCCTGGAAATGAATCAGTACTGATTTTTCTTCAAGTCAAAACTTCTCATAAAAAGATGGTCCCTGTCTCCTATTTAATAATAACTAATCATAAAAATTTAACAATATGTAATGATTCCACAATTCCTATATATATATTTTTGAAACCTTTAAAATGAAGATTTTCACAGTCAAATGATGAAAATATTTAATAAGGATGAAGTAAAAAGAACCTTCTTCATCAATATAGGTGTATGGAAATAATCATATTTCAAATCTATGAGATATGAAACAATCTATTTGACCATACTCTGCAAATCTAGTGTTCATAGAGTGATCCCACAAAAATAATGATATTTATTAAACTTCTGTTAACTCACTTTATCCCTTTTATCAACTTTTTTTCAAATTCCATGGAAATGTAAAAGTAACTATTTAATTTAATCAGGCTAATAATAACCTATCTTAATGAAATTCAGAGAGGAAACAAGAGACTACTTTAAAAACCCTCTCTAGAGGACCAATTGCTTCCAGCAGAGGAGGCGTATGCCTGTCAAATCGATTACTGTCAATGTGTAATGTTAGCATCAGTTTATGAGCTCAACTGATAATTCACAGGGCTGACAAGCGCCCTTGCAGAATCAGGAATTAATAAGGTAAAGGAATTTTGAATTTTAGAAAATGGAATTAAGCCTTAATTCCATGAAGAACATAGTAACTTTGTCAAATTGCATTATCTGCTTCGTTGCGTCTACCATTACTTATATCTGAAGGTAATTACAAAATAGCTATTATTCTTACAGCACCTGAAATTTGAAATTAAATAGATGTTAAATTATTATATAGGTTTTAGAAGTTCTAATTTCAACTATATGGTTGGGGACCTAAAAGTGATATGTGAGCTACGTAGAATGAATTTCCTTGACTGTTAAACACTCGAGGAAGGGGGGACCTTAAAAGTCACTTTAGAAAACAAACAAACGGCTCTGCAGCCAGAACTGCTTCCTTATTCAGAGACGAATGGCCAGGCCTCAAGAGAAGCATAACTCTTGCAGCTTATGCCAATATTCAAATTACAGTACAAATCTTGACAGAAGCTGGGCTTTAAAGAAATGGCACGAGAAACGAAACTGTCAAGAATATTAAATCACCCCAAACTGTTTATACTGAGCATATTTTACCAAAGAAGGTATTCAAATAAAAATGATGGGGAAAAAAAAGACTTTCATAGCAACCCTTAAAAGACTGACCATACCAAATGTCAGCAAACATTTAGAAAAACTGTGTGTAAGAGTTCACCGTTAGTGAGGGTGGAACTTAGTACAGCCACCATGGAAAACAGTATGCAGCTTTCTTATAAAAGTAAAAAAGAACTATCATATGATCCAGTCATCCTACTAGTGGGCATATACCCAACAGAAATGAAATCAGTACATGGAAGAGATAGCTGCACTCCCCTGTTCACTGCAGAATCATTCACAATAGCCAAGATACGGAAAGAACCGAGGTGTCAATCAATGGATGAATAATGGTAAAAATGTGGAATACTATTTGGTCATAAAAAAGAAAGAAATCCTGTCATTTGCAGCAACACGGATGAGCCTGAAGGACACTTTGTTAAGTAAAGTGAGCCAGTGACAGAAAGACAAGCACATCATCATCTCACTTTTACGGAGAACCTCAGAAAACTGATCTCATTGGAGCAGAGGATGGAATGGTGGTTACCAGAGACTGGGGGAGGCAGGAGGACAGGAATGGGGAGAGATGAGTTAACAGGTGCAGGGTCTCAGGTAGAAGTAAGAAGTTCTTGTGTGCTATTGTACAGAAGGGTGATTACACTTAACAATATTGCATGGTATATTTCAAAATAGCTAGAAGAGAGGATTTTCAATGTTTTTACCGTAAAGAAACGCTGAACGTTGGAGATGATGCAAATGCTACGAACCTTGATTTGACCATTTCACAATGTAAATATGTACTGAAGCATAAATAAACAGAAATGATAATAAAATGCTGAAGGAAATATAAAATGCAAAAATTATTTTGGGAAACAATTTGGTAACTTTTTAAAAAGTTAAACATGTAGTTAATATATGACATGGCCCTTCCACACAGAGGTAGTGACCCAAGGGAAATGGAAGCCATGTCCAAAGCAACACTTGTACACAGATGTTCACTGACCTTCATTCTTAAACGCCCCTGCAGGGAAAAAGGCATGAAGACACTTTGGGGGCTGTCAGGAACGTTCAATATCTTTCACTATGAGGTATTCGCACTCTGGGAGGGGTCAACAATGTTCAATATCTTGACGAGGGGTGGTGAAAACAAGGGTTGATGTTTATCAAAACTCATCGAATTGCACACTTTTGAATATCTGCATTTCTTGTGCATAAAGTATAACTTAATGAAATGGTTAAATTGTTAGGTTTTTCAGCGTAAAATTTTCTATGAAATAAAGTCTATGGTTGTTGTTTTCTATGGTTTGTAATTTATACCTTACCTATAATAAATTACAGATAGTCCCACCTCCCCCACAAAAATACATCCACAGCAACAGCCAGCACTACTGAGTTTGGTCACATAAACTGTGCACCAGATCACACCAGGGGCACTGGCCACACTGTCTATTTCTTATATTTGTCAATCTCGATATGTATTAATCGATATCTGTATGTATGTATGTATGTATGTGTGTATGGGTATACATGTACAAATTTAATTATAAAAGAGGATAAATCAGAACAAAAATATAATTGCCAAGTATGTATATATACACACATGCATATATACATATATACACACATGCACATATACATATATACACACATACATATACATACAAACATATGAATATACACACAACTATACTGGGAATTCTAATATCTCATCTTCCCTCTTTGATACATCTTCCACTGATATGTAGGACTATCTGCTATAAGGGAGATGTTATTACATCATTATTATCAATATGAATACTTACAGGTGACATTTAATAACTGCTTACTATGTGCTGAGAAATGTAGAAATCATTTTGTATGTGTTGTATAGATTTTAAACTAGATTATAAACACCATGAGAGTGGAAGCTGTATCTGTCTTCTGTTTATTTTTTTAATGCTGAACAAATTGTCTGACATATGTAGTAGGTATTTAATTAATGTTTATCAAGTAGATGATGGTTATGAAGTCCCTTTATTTCATCATTACAACATGTTAAAGCATTTTTCTGCTAGGCACAGTGGCTTACAACTGTAATCTCAGCACCTTGGGAAGCTGAAGCGGGTGGATCATTTGAGGTCAGGAGTTTGAGACCAGCCTGTCCAAAATGGTGAAACCACATCTCCACTAAAAATACAAAAAGTAGCCAGGTGTGATGGCAGGTGCCTGTAATCCCAGCTACTCAGGAGGCTGAGGCAAGAGGATCACCTGAACCCTGGAGGTGGAGGTTGCAGTGAGCAGCGATCATGGCCCTGAACTGCAGCCTGGGTAACAGAACGAGACTCCATTTCAACAACAACAACAAAAAAATTCAAAGAAGCTCTTTGTAAATATATAAGATAGGTTCTATTGTTTACCTTATTTTACAGATAAAATAATTGAAGAAAATTGGATAATATTCTAAGCATTGAATAGTTGCATGACTAGTAAACTGGAGGGTTCAGTTCGGTCTTTTCTCACTGCATTGTCTGAGCCCTTAAATCTCTCTTCTTGGTTTTAGTTCCTTAGCAAGATCAGGAACCCTGCTAGTAATGGATTCTGGGAAATGCAGTTTCCAGGCTTCCAGACTTTCTGTTCTAGACAGTAAGGAGCCCATGAGAAAATGAATATGGTTAAAACACCAACAGAGCTAGCAACTCTATGGACTCTCTATGGAAGAGGGATGATGGAGATTAGGATTTCCCAGTTCCACTAAGACACAGGTCCATGCAACAGCTGAAACTCCCCATCCCTCACCTTCCCTCCCATGTGCAGATGTCACACCTGGGCCATCACTAATCTTGTCTAACCCTGCATACTCTCCTCTGCTCTACAGAAAGGCAGTAACTTGGAGAGTGAAAATTTTCCCATCTCATTTTCCCACTAGGCAGTTGCTTTAGTGTGCCGCTTTTGTATTCCCAGTTTGTCTTTTCCCGGAAGTCAGCATGTCACTTTCAGTTTTAAAAGGCTATTTAACTGGTATTCATCTTGCCGCCTCCCTGACCCATCCCATCCCCATGCCTTTTTTCCAGTAGTGCATGCCTCTCTTCCATCCCTTGTATGAGAGTTAAATTATACTTTACTTGAATTTTCTTCTATCTCTACTTGATTTACCTCATTTCCACCAATAAACAACTGACAAAACTTGTTTATTAATGTTCTCCCTTCATGTTTCCGGTAACATATGACCCATAGTCTTGCTAAAATTAAGAGGAAACACATCACATCTCTCACTTTACTTTTGCTCTATCTACAACGATAACTTGTTCAATGACTTTGAAAATTTGCTCCTATTTATTCATAACATTGGAGAAAACAAATATTTTATTCCATACAATTGTCATTTCCTACCAGCCTGCCACCACGCCCACAGTGAGATAAGATATCGGCTGCTCTTCTGCAGCACCTCTTACTTCCTGCCTTGACATGACTTTACTGTGTCACACTTCTTTCAAATGTTAGTAGATGCTTGATAGTATCACAGACTCGAATGTGATCATGTAAGAGATCACTGTGTGAATTCCATGTTCTGCTAAATTTTTGAAGTTCCTACTCTGAAAATTATAACATAATAATAGGGTCTGAGGAAAAGTCCCAGAACCCAGTTGGTAGTTATCAACCAACAACTTACCAGAAAGATGACTCAGTAGATTGCTTGGTAATACCTGAACTTCTTAATCTGGGCATTATAATCAGGAAGAGGCATGGGTAGAGAACTGAATATGACTATGGAAAAATAAAACACCTTTTAAATAAATAGATTTTTAAATAAAATATTTGGGATTGAGAAACTATGCAAATGAAAGATAGACGGTTAAAAGAAAAAAAATCATTTAAAGTGTTTACTCCTTAGCATTGTCAAGTGATGAAATGTATTTATACCACGACAGTTCCTGCTTAGCTTTTGCAGGTAATGGTTGCCAAGTCTTTGGTGCAAAAATAGAAATGATAATTTTTAGAAAAGTTGTTACTCCTTCCCATTACTGAAAGTTAAAAATTGTTTTCAATATGGGCTTTTTTTTTTTTTTTTTTTTGAGATGGAGTCTCACTTTGTCACCAGGCTGGAGTGCAGTGGTGCGATCTTGGCTCACTGCAACCTCAACTTCTGCCTCCCGGGATCAAGAGATTCTCCTGCCTCAGCTTCCTGAGTAGCTGGGACTACAGGCGTGTGCCACCACACCCAGCTAATTTTTGTATTTTTAGTACAGATGGGGTTTCACCATGTTGGCCAGGATGGTCTTGCTCTCTTGACCTCGTGATCTTCCCACCTTGGCCTCCCAAAGTCCTGGGATTACAGGCATGAGCCACTACACATGGCCAACATGGGCTTATTTTTATTCTACATTGTTTATGTGAAATGGATCTGCTTAAATATAGTCATCAGAGTAATGCCTAAACACACAGACACACACAGTTACATTTCTTCTAATCATTGAAGAACATACCTTATCAATAAATGGGGGGGTTACAGTCAGGTTCTTCCAGTAGCAGATGGCATACAAAATTCAGTTTAAGATGTGCAAACAAGTCATTGAAAAAATAAATTTACTTGAAAACTGTGTCATAGCAACCTAGTTTTTAAAAGTTATAATCCAAGAAATACGTTTTATACAGAGATTGGAAGGTTAGAAAGTTGCATTTTGATAAACATGGTGGGATTCTGAAGAAACAATGAATGAAATAGAAATAAACTTTATTAGACAACTTTTGTGGAACTACAGTTGTTGACATAGAGATGTAGTTACTTTTCTGTTTCTTCAAAATTCTTCTAACTTATCTCCAGGTCTTCTGACCATATAGCTTTATTTTGATTTCCTTGACAGGGACTTCCACTGCCTGACTGTTTTTCTGCAAATATTTTCAATGAGAATCCCTTCTGCCTTTCAAAATGGGCATTAAGTGAACTACCCACTTTCTTAATATCCCCTTTGCTCCTAAATTAAATATTTTATTTTTTCTTTATTTGTGGTTGGTGTTGTGTGGTGTGGGCGGATTGCTTCTTGGTTCATTTTTCAAGATCTCCTTATTATGTAATGACCATGGTTCTTTCGGACAGTCTAAATTATTTTCTCATTAAAGCCATGCACACGTGCCACACTCTAGTGCTGACGAGGGCATCTTCTTTATGTCTTGGCCCATCAGATGGCCATTTAGCGCCCAACATTGGTGAGATGCTTCTCTCTTAGTGGAAAGTGACAGAATGCCTGCAACCCCATATTCTTATTTTCTAATCTGAAGTTAAATTCAGGCTTGTGTTGACTTTTATTTCCCTACGTAAGACTTCAGAGCAGATTCACCAGTGCACAGTTCTAGGACTGAAAAACGGGCTCCCGTGGCAGCTCAGCCATTCTCTGTTGCACTGGAAATTGCTTCCTGCTTCAACTTCTGGTTAAGTCAGCTAGAAAGTTCCCTGGACTAAGGTGCTCAACCCTGCAAAATCTCAGATGGCTCCCAGGCAAGACTCCCCTCTGGAAGTCTAACGATTTCCTTTTAGGTGGCAAAGCACTGAGTGATTTCTCTGCTTTCTCATGAACTACAACAATCGCATCATTCCTGGCATTCTTTGATTATGAGACCTGAGGTCTTAGTAGCATCTGATGCTTTCCAGAGTAACCTTAGAATTATATAAGAATACCTTTGAGGTTCTCTGGCAGTAAATGTTTAGATAAGGCCATCATAGTAAATATTCCTTAGAACATTTCCCATTTATGCCAGCGTCCTTTCAGAATATTACCTCTGTAAGGTACGACTAAATCGTTTTTTAAAACTGTGTTTCATTTTCAGGTTGATATAATCTCTAATGCAAAACTCATCTAATTACCAGTAGATGTTCCTATATGTAATACCAAAATTAAAGATCAAGGTGATTTTATGACTTTTCCATTTAATTTCTTCTGAGCATTTGTAAAGAGTTCCAGTTAATTCAATATTTGCTTATTCCATACAAGCCTATATTAAAGAAAATAGTATCCCTGACAGTTAATATGTGTTTTCACTGCATTTTGTTATAGACAGTTCAAAAATGTTCTGCCTTGATTATGAAGTACAAATATTTCCTTCTAAATAGTGAACATAATTTAGATTATATTACTTCTCCAGCCTAAAATCATGAGGAAATCCCATTTATTAGTGTTAAATCTCAACCTAATTGTTTGATCTGATCTCTCCACCTTTTCTCCATATCCCCCTCATTCCTGCCCCATAGACTTCATTTTGCTGCTGAATAAAATCACTAATTTAACATCCGCAGATAGCTTGTCTGCTCCCATCTTGTATTCATCTCCTGGAACAGACAGTTCCTTACACTTCTCGCCTATATTTCTATGAGTCAGAGTGCTGGCAGGAAGTGGCACACTCAAATCGGAAAATTAAAAAAAGTTAATGCAGGAAATATCGGGAATACTTGTGATTGGTTTAAGTCAACTATCACGGGCTAGTCAGCACAGTTCCCATGTGCTGTTCACAGTGGATCCATTTATCCCCCCAGGGAGCTGGTAGCAGACAGGACAGGGAGCTGGTAGCAGACAGGACTGGGAGCTGGTAGCAGAGAGGACAGAAGCCCCTGGTGGGAGCTGCTACCTTTGGCAATCCATGGAAGAGAGACGGAGAGACAGCACACCCCTACTTCACTCACTCTGTGGCCTCAGTCACTCCCCTTTGGTGAATCCCAATGAGAAGTCAGAGGGCAAAAAAGCCCCTTGATATGTTCAGTCCTCAGAGCACAGAGCTCCCTGGGAAAGAAAATAGTATCCCTGACAGTTAATATGTGTTTTCACTGCACATATTTCACTGCACATATTTCACTGGGAAAGATGAAGCATGGGGCAGAGGGGCTGAAACAGATGCCCTGAGTGGTTCTTCTCCATCAGCCCAGCCACCCAGTCCCGCCACCTCTCTGGAGACCTCATAGAAATGCCTGAAACATCACCTGTGGATGCCTATTGAACACATCCCACTCTTAGACCACCACATTCTGTCCAATCCTTTCAGGCTTTTGGGCATTCCTGAAGCCCACTCTGTCCACCTCTCCACTCTGTCCACCTCTCCGCCTGCATGGAGACTTCGAATCAGCACATCTCGTCATGTCTGTCTTCTAACCACACCTCCAACCTAGCGACCTTGATGACTATGAGCTGTTACATGAGGCAACTCCTCTCACCTGCACGGTGCCACCCACCTTCCGTCCTACCTCCTGCCTTCACCCAGACCTCCTTCCCATCCCAACACCCTACACGTCACTCAATCAGGTTCTTCCTCGAACAATGTGTGTCAGGTCAGGCAACTGCCCTGCACAAAACTTCCATGGCTTCTGATTGCAGAGTGACAAGAGAAACATGGCAGGGGGCTGATGCCTTGATTCCTCCTGACTTTGCTTCTGCCCCACTGGAAAGATCTTCCCCTTGGATGAGTCTTCCCCTATAGCTTAGTCTGGTCTTCCTGCAATTAACCAGATGCAATCCATGCCATTTCACTTTGCAACTTTGTATTTGCAAATGCTCTCTTCTGGGACACATCCCAGCTACCCAGGTGGGCAGCTCCCCACTCCCTTCACCAGCACTCCCTTCCAGAGACTCACACTGCTGGTTCCACCCTAAGGAGCAGAGGCTCCCTCACTCTCCAGCCCTCTGACCATTCCCCTACATTTTTCTTTATTGAATTTATTACCACCTGGGAGAACATCAAGGCTAAGATACCATCATTATAAGATGCTTAATTACTTCATACACTATTGAAAAAGAAAATTAAAATGTGACATGAGTCTCTCTTACCAACGCGATAGTAAGATACATCCCATATCAGAGGTACAAAAAGGTGAGAAAGTCCATGCCTTAGAAGCCATGAGACAGGTTATATATTACTATTATTGTTATTATTTTCACTGCAAAACTGTCTGATTAGAATGTAAAATCTGTGAGAGCTGGTCTTTTGCCCAGTTGCTACTTACGTAATCCCAGCCCTCAAAATAGTGCCTGGCACACAATATTCAGTGAATATGCATAAAATTAATTATGTAAATTAAGTGTAATGTTTAGTGGCTTTAACTATATCATTGTTTCATTTTCTTTTCTACCTTCTATATCTTATAAATCTTACGTATGTTTTATTATTGATCATAATAAACATCACACCAACATAGTGATTACATGTATTTCAAAACAAGAAAAGTGTGAGTCTTGTATTGTTCTATATACGCGACACCTTAGAAACGCTTTCTGAGTAAAAGGCAGTCTTTTCAACACATTGGCAATGAGCATTTTTAGGAGTAAGGCTTAAAAAAAGATATTTTCTTCTTCTCTTCTCAAAACAAACACTGTCCATGGCTATAGATTTTTGTCAGTATGCTAATATGTTATGATTCGGGATTATTAGAGATGAAAACATTAAGGTAATGCCAATTATTATTTTCTCAGCCACTTTATGTATGGCTTCTCCAAAAAAAAGAGTGTGAAGCTAAAAAAAAGAGAGAAAAAAGCATGCAAGAAGCAGACAGGGACTTAAACAAGACAGCTTGAAAACCTGGCTTATTGCTCATTTAAAGTGTGGAGCTTAATTCTTATCTCTGGCTATGGTTCTCATGCATCGAAAAACTTCAAAGACTGAAGTGCAAACTCATTTTCTTTGCTTGATCCTCCTGGTAGGGAGGGAAAAAAATCAAATGCAATTGTGTGAATTTATCATAATACTGTTCAAGGGGAAAACTCATAAAAATCCTGTCTGTTGCTCACTTGATTTGATGTATCCTTGTCTAATACCACCATTCACTGAAGACAACACAGGCATCCCAAATGACGGAGCGGCTCTCAACACGTCAACCCCACTCCATTATTATTGGCCTCAACTCGGGAAATCTTATCTATGAGGTATAGTTTGCATTCATATAAAACCCTCTTTGGCAATTCATACAGTTCTGACTTATCCTAAAGGCTGAATTAAATGGGCTGTGTAATTTGTAAACAGAATTCACATTTATTCTAATGGGACAGCGGGAAATAAGATCAACACTGGCAGCTTCTCCAGCCCTGCTCAAAGAAACTTCAACAGAGGCCAACGTATCCAGGGAAAAACTGGACTGCAGGAGCCCATCCTCAATGAATGTTATTTATCCTTCAGAGTAGATTCTCTTCTTTACATAGAAGATGGTTGTGATTATAATTTATTATTAACATTAATGTTTTCCCTTTCTAATCACAGTCAAAAGGAAGACAGAACACCCTGTTCCCACCAAAGCCACTATAGATGCAGCTAATTGATATCTTTTCTTTTTTTTTTTGTTTCAGAGTCTTGCTCTGTTGCCCAGGCTGGAGTGCAGTGGCACAATCTCGGCTCACTGCAACCTCAGCCTCCTGTGTTCAAGCAATTCTCTTGTTTCAGCCACCCGAGTAGCTGGGATTACAGGTGTGTGTCACCAGGCCTGGCTAATTCTTTAGTAGAGACAGGGTTTCATCATGTTGGCCAGGCTCATCTCGAACTGCTGACCTCAGATGATCCGCTCACCTCAGCCTCCCAAAGTACTGATACCTATTTCTAAAATAGAGGTTTTTGTACAAATAAGAATTAAGTATCCATAGAATTTACCCAGTAGAAAAGCTTCAGACTTAGCTATTAAAATTATTTGAATATTCAGGTCCATCTGTGATTTGGTAAATAATTACCATGGGGTTTTATTATTTTTAACAAATTTTTGAATTTTGAGATAATTATAGATCCATATGCAGTTGTAAGAGGTAATACAAAGTTCTCATGTAAGTTTTAGGCAGTTACAAAGATCTTGTGTAACCTTCGTGCAGCTTTCCCCAATGGCAGAATTTTGCAAAACTGTATTATAACATCACCACCAGTATACTGACGTTGAAACAGGTGAGATACAGAACATGTCCAGCAACACAGACATCCCTCCCGTTGACCCTTGATAGCTACACTTACTTTGGCCCATCAACACCTCCCTCCTTAACTCCTGGCCACTACTAATCTCTTCTCTCTTCCTATAAGAATGTTGTAGAAATGCATGTGACCTTCTGGGATTGACTTTTTTGGTCAGCACCACTCTCTGGAGAGTCATCAAGTTGGTGCTTGTATCAATAGTTTATTCCTTTTTATTGCTGAGTGGGATTTCATGGTCTAGATGAATTAATTTGTTTAACTGTTTGCATCTTCAATGACATTTGGGTGATTTCCTGTCTTTGACTATTATGACTAAAGCTGCTACACATATTCCTGCTACTATTACTTATTATTATGTTATGTGAACAGAAGCCTTCACTTCTCTGAGATAAATGATTGGAAGTGCAATTGTCGGGTCATATGATAATTGCATGTTTAGCTCTTATAAGAAATTGCTGGCCAGGTGTGGTGGCTTGCACCTGTAATCCCAGCACTTTGGGAGGCCAAGGCAGGTGGATCACCTGAGGTTAGGAGTTCAAGATGAGTCTGGCCAACCTGGTGAAACCTCATCTCTACTAAAAATACAAAATTAGCCGGGCATGGTAGTGGGCACCTGTAATCCCAAATCCCAGCTACCCAGGAGGCTGAGGCAGGGAGAATTGCTTCAATCTGGGAGGTGGAGGTTGCAGTGAGCCAAGATCGTGCCACTGCACTCCAGCCTGGGTGACAGAGCAAGACTCCATCTCAAAAAAAAAAAAAAAAAAAAAAAAAAAAAACCAAGAAAAAAAAAAGAAAAAGAAAAAAATTGCCAAACTGTTTAAAAATGTGGCTGTACCATTACACATTCCCATCAGCAATGTTTGAGTGACTCAACTTCTCTATTTGAGAGCATTTGGCAATGTCAGTATATATATATATATATATATATATATATTTTTTTTTTTAATATGTATTTTTAATTTTGGACATTTTGATAGCTGTGTATAATAGCTCATTTTTGTCTTAAATTTCCCTGATAGCTAAAGGTGTTACACAGTGTTCTATGTGTTTATGGTACATGTTCTTTGGTGAAAGGTCTTCTGAACATATCCTAACTCTGTGACTCTGTGTGTGTATCTGTGTGTGTGTGTCTGTGTGTGTGTGTGTAATTGTAGAGTCTTAAGAGTTCTTTATGAGTTCTTATCAGATACGTGGTTTGAAAATGTTATCTTCCAGTCTACAGCTTATCTTTTCAAGTTCTTTATATGATTTTTCTCCGAGATGTTTTTCATTTTGATAAGGTAATAATCAATTATTTGGTAAATAATTCCAATTGATGAATTATGTTTTGGGGGACAAGTCTAAGAAATATTTGCCTAGTCTCAGATTGCAAATATTTCCTCATATCTTTTACTAAAACTTTTATATGTTTACATTTACATTTAAGTCTATTATCCATTTTGAGTAGATTTTTGTAAAAGATGTGAGATTCACATGGAGGCACATTTTTGGCCTATGTATGTCCAGTTGTCCTGGAGCCATTCACTGAAAAGACTATTCTTCCTCCATTGAATTGCTTTGGCCCCTTTACCAAAAACCAGGAGGGCATCTTCTGTGGGTTTATTCCTGGGCTTTCTATTCCATTCCATTAATCTCTGTGTCTGCCCTTCCACCAACACCACATGGTCTTGATTACTGGAGCTATATAATATGCAGTGAAATTGGGTAAGGTGCTTTTCCCACTCAATTTTGTTCTTCAAAATTACTTTAGCTATTCCAGTTCCTCTACATTTTCATACACATTTTAGAATAATCTTGTTCATATCTACAAAACATATTTGCTGAGATTCTTATAACAGGTGCATTAAACTGTATATCAATTTGGGAGATTTGAGATCTTTACTCTGAGTGTCCCAATACATGAACATACTATATCTCTCTACTTATTTTGATCTTTGGTTTCTTTCAATAGCATTGTATAGTTTTCAGTCTATGAGTCCTATACATATACAGTTTTCTTTAGATTTCCACATATTACATTGTTTTGAGTGATTATAAATTGTATTTTAAAGAAATTGGGTGTTCACGTGTTCATATTATTATATAGAAATACAGTAGATTTTGTTGTTGTTGTTCATCCTGTATCCTGTGAAGTCACCAAACTGGGTTCTTGGCTCTAAGAGTTTATCTGTGAATTCTTTGGGAAATTCTATCTAGACGATCACGTTACTTGCAAGTAGAGTCAGGTTTACTGTTTTTCTTTGCAATCTGTATGCCCTGTTTCTCTTATCCTTGCAATTTTGAATGGACTTGAGCTTCCAGCACTATACTGAATGGGAAGAGTGGATATCCTTGGTGGGTTCTTACTCTTAGGGGGTAACATCCAGTCTTTCATCAGTAAGGTTAATTCTAAGTGTTTTTTTGTTTTGTTTTGTTGTTTTGTAAGTGCTCTTTATCACAAACTGAGGACGACCCATTTCCTCCTGCCTTGCTGAGACGTTGTCATGAACAGACGTTACAGCAGGCTTGATGGTGGCCCCCGATAACGACATGTCCACTCCCTTGTCCCCAGACGTGGTGACTGTGATTTTATTTGGAAAATGGGTCTTTGCAGATGGAATGTAGTTAAACATCCTGAGATTAGATCATCCTGGATTATGTTGGTGTCCCCACATCCAAAATACGAATGCCTTTGTATGAAACACATAGAGGAGAAAACAGACACCAAGAGAAACATGTGATATGAAGACAGAGGTAGGAGTTCCAGCGGTGCCACTGTTAGCTGAGGAGCATAGGAGACACTGTAAGCTGTAAAAGGCTGGGAATGGTTTCTCTCCCCGGGAGATCTGGCAGGGAGCATGGCTTTGCTGACACCTTGATTTTGGACTTGTGGCCTCCAGAGCTTTGAGAGACTGAATTTGTATTGTTTTCAAACAGTACATTTGTGGTGGTTAGTTTCCTTAGGAAACTAATAGGGGTGTTGAATTTGTCAAATGCTTTTTGTGCATCGACTGATATAAACATGTGATTTTTCTTCTTTATCCTGTTAATTTAATAAATGACATTGATTTTGAAATATTGAACAGTCTTTCATTCCTACAAGGAAAACACTTCATTTGCTTATGGCATATAATTTCATATATATATATATATATACACACACACACACAAAATCCTGTACCACGTAAGGACATTTCAATCAATGATGGATCATGTATACAATGGTCCCATAAGATTATAATGTAGTTAAAAACCTCCTATCACCTAATGACATAGTAGCCATTGATCATAGCACAATGCATTGCGCATGTGTTCCTGGTGATGCTGGTGTAAATAAACCTACTGTGCTGCCAGCCATGTGAAAGCGGAGCAGTGCAACTGTACACAGCAGGTAACACTTGATAATAATAAGTGACTATGACATTGCTTTATATATTTACTATGCTATACTATCCATCACTGTTTTAGACTATGCTCCTTATACTTACATTAAAAAAAAATCACTGTAAACAGCCTTAGGCAGGTCCGTCAGGAGGTATCCAGAAGAAGGCATTGAGATCACTGAACATGAGAGCTTCATTCATGTGTGGTATTGCCCCGAAGACTTTCCAGTGGGACAAGATGTGGAGGCGGAAGACAGTGTGTAGGCCTAAGCTATGTTTTGTGTGTTTGTGTATTAGTTTTAAACAAAAATTTTAAACAAAAAATTTTAAAAAGTAAAAAAAAAAATACAAAATTAAAATAAAAAATGTTTACAGAAGAAGACTATAAAAATATTTTTGTGCAACTGTACAATGTGTTTTAGGCTAAATGTTATAGCAAAACAATAAAAAATTTTAAAAAATGAAAAGGTTTATAAAGTAAAAAAGTTACAGTAAGCTAAGGTTAATTTATTATTGAAGAAATAAATTTTATAAATAAATGTACTGTAGCCTAAGTTCACAGTGTTTATAAGTCTACAGCAGTGTATGGTAATGTCCTAGGCCTTCAATTTCAGCCATCACTCACTCACTGACTCACCCAGAACAACTTCCCATCCTGCAAGCTCTATTCATGGTAAGTACCTTATACAGATGTCCCACTTTTTTATCTCTTATACAGTGTTTTTACTGTACCTTTTGTATGTTTACATATGTTCGATACACAAATGTTACTTCTTGTTACAATTGCCTGTAGTATTACAGTCACATGCTGTACAGGTTTGGAGCCTAGGAACAATAGGCTGTACCATATATCCCAGGTGGGTAGCAGGCTATACAATCTGGGTTTGTGTAAGTGCACTCCACGATGTTTGCATACTGTTGAAATCATCTAACAACACATCTCAGAACGTATCCCTGTTGTTGTTAAGCAATGCATGACTGCATATGCATGTATATATACACACACATACACACGTACATATATATTTGAATTCTATTTGCTACCATTAAGAATTTTTGTGTCTATATTTATGAGAGATATTAGTACATAGATTTTTTTTTTGTTATGTCTGTACCTGGTTTTGGCCTCAGAATATTATAACTTCACACATTACTTGTGAAGTATTCCCCCATCTATTTTCTGAGTATGTGTAGAATTGCTGTCAATTTTTCTTTAAACATGGTTTTATTAATTTAAATCATTAAAATTGTCCTCTTTCTATAGGAACTTGCATATTTCTGTTTAAAATGATAATTACAATGAATATGAGTTTGTATATGTGACTAATTATCAAATCAAGGCCATGGACTTGCATTTGTACTTATGATGCCTTTTCTAGCAGACATCCACTAGTGAGCAGTGTACACTGCACACCACGTGTCACCTTCTGCTGCAAAAAAATGTGAGAGGATACACGCACAAGGCTATTCATGTCAGACTATTTCTTATAGCAAAGAACTGGAAAGAGCTCATCAATAGATGGGTTGGAAGACTGATTGAATAAACTGTGGCCTCTCCATCTACTCTGTGGAGTGCTGTACAGCCAGAGAAAGAGGAGAGAGAGAGAAAGAGAAAGAGAGCAAGCTACTATAGAATGAGCTCCAGAATTCATTAGATAGAAAAAAAATAGAGCCTAAAACACATTACTGCTTACCCAATTTGGGAGGCGGGTTGACACAAACATCTAATATCTATATATAGAGATATCTACATATGTGTGCGTCTGTTTCTTAAAAGCAAGAATGAACCAGAACAATTCTACAAATTAGTATTTACAGGGGGAAAGTGAAACAGTTTAGAAGAGAAGGAAGCAGAAGTGAGACCTTCAAATTATACCTACCTTTGCAGAGTTGACTGTGGAATATCAAAGTATGCAAATCTTTGTATATCACAATAAAACAAAATTATTTTAAAGCAATCTAAAATGTTTAAAGAAGTAAATCTAATTGTGAATCTAGCAATGGACAGCTTTAAAGGACCTTGAAATACAGTAATTTGATTGGGAGACATGAAGTGTAAACATGAATGCAAAACCATTTTAGATTGTTTTCAGCACTACTGATGCATATGGAAATGTTGGTATTGCTTTCAAATTTTTCACGTCTGTGTTGTAAGATACAGCAACTGAGAAATTATGAGATATTCTAATTCCACCTTTATCAGAGTTACTGAGAGCGGGGACACTGGGTGAGGAAAGGACTACAGATATACAATGGAAGACATGAGAAAAAACCTTGCAGTGCTGAATGTGAATCAGGCGTATCAGCATGAAATCTTGTCTCTTTGTTCTATACACACACACACGCACATACACACTCACTCCCTATCGAGTGAAAGGGCCCAGAAAGAACAAGAAATCAAGCAGTGATTAATATTGTAAGTGTCCAGATCATAATGTTGAAATATCATTTGCCATTCAAGGAAGCCAAGAATCACTGGGCTGGATGACTAATTTCAGGTTTGAAGCAGAAATTACACAAGATAAATTTGGAATGGTTTATCCCACTGGATGGCAAAGAAGCTATCATCGACTCAGGAGTCAAGAACACACTAAAAGGCAAAATTAGCACAATTTTAGCATCAACAAAGATAATACATTCCATAGATTGAAAATCATCAGACTGTTTTAAATTCATGAGTTCTTTCCTAACAATACAAAACAATAAAAGAAATTACTGTAGAGCAGTAGTGCTCAACCAGTAGAACTTTTGCTACCATCTTCTCTCCCCTCATTGGGACATTTGGCAATGTCTGGAGGCATTGGTATTTGCACACTGAGGGTGAGGATGCTACTGGTATCTGGTGGGTCAAGGCCAATGATGCTCCTAAAAACCTACAGTCACAGGACCGTCCCTGCCTTAACACCCAAACAAAAGTATGCAGTGGAAATGGTGATAGGCCTGAGGCTGAGGAGGCTATGAAAACTTCCTATTCTGAATGTAATATATAAATGTAATGTAATAAACTGAAAAGGCCACATTTATCCTGTCTTGCCTATCAACTTTGCCACCAGACAACCAAATAATATGCTTCTTTTATAGGAGAACCTCAGCAAGTAAATACAAAAAGAAGCAACAGAATCAGAATACTATCGATTTGTGGCATTTAGTCAATAAACACAGCTGGTCAGTGCACGTCAGTCACCCCGTCTCCTGATGGGAGAAAACACCACTAGCTATGAAGTCCTCATGTCAGAAAAACTCAAACTCGAACCTGTCCAAGCCTCTTTATCCAGTGCCAAGTCACAGAAACTTTCTTAAACACTCTGGAGATGCAATCGGCAAAATGTCTACTATGGCAAATTCAACAGGGAAAAAGAAAAACAGAAAATAGGAGCAACATATAAACTAATATACTTACAACCTACATCAAACAATCACAATCATAACACAGTACACTTTTAATAATTCTTTTATCACCTCATCATGAAGGAAAAGGAAGCCATTTTCAGTAGTCTGGGTTACGTTCTCTGGGTTTCACTGGTGGAAGAAGAAGTTATAATTTTGGGGACGTCACTAAGGTAAGGGTACTAATATATCCTGGGTACCTATCACATTCTGCAGATTGACGTGTATACATATATGTTACCATCTTATTTTCACAAACACTCAAGAGGCAGATATGACTGTGCCTACTTGCAGATAGTTCTCAGAAAGAGAAAGTGAATTACAAAGTGAGGTCAACTTAAACACACAGCTCGAGCAGATGGAACCAAGCCTCTATAGCTGCAATGTGCACAACTCTTTTCATTACACATTTTTTTTTAATAGAACAGACTTCTTATGAAAGTGCGGATGATGAATCAGTGCATCACAGACCACAATAAAGAAGGCCAGAAGAGAGGCCATTCACTTGGGAGACAGCTGTAATAACCAAGGTAGAAATACGTCGGAACTAGAGGGGACGAGAGGAAACAAGGCCATGTAGCAAATGAGGAGTTCTGATTTATTCGAATAAAGTCCACAAGAACAAGAACAAAGCCATGTAAACAGTAAGAGGATAAAACTTTGAGAAAAGACAAAACATAACACCCAAAGGCAACTGAGGGATTATATCCTTGAAAGAAAGAGTATAATTCAAGATGGTATGTTATAGAAATAGCAAAAGCGTAAAATTGAGATCTATCATCTTGACTCCAAAGAAGATTGTACAGAGAGACAGAGAGGCAACGATGAAATGACTGCTTGTTCTGGGCACAACAGAGGGAGAAGGGAATGTAATGGAAAGTCAAAAATACTGTCCCGGGCCCGGATTGATAATTACATTTTTGACAAGAAGGTGAACAGTCTGGAAAGATAACAGTAAAGTTGAAATGGACTAAAAACTAATTTGAGAAGTTTGTTGTAATAGAATTGACTGCAAGAAAGGAAATTGCCATGGCCCCAGGGAGAAAAAGAAAAGAGGATGAGGGAGAAAAAAATCGTGAATGCACTTTCTGAAGCACTCCTAGTCCTTGGAAGAGGGACAGACTCTCAGAAATCGGAAACGTGTGCTGCATGGGCTATTGTAAAATTAGTTTTCTTTACCTTTTCAGATCATTTTCCATCAGGCAAGTCACAAATTTACATAGACTGTTTGCAAAATACACAAATGTAAATATGGCTTTCAACTGAGGATCTGTCCTCTCTGTTTTAATACAATGTATCCTGACAAAAACTCAGTTATGATTCCTACTTTGTAGATAATGAAACTGATGATCAGAGAATTAATTACTGAGTAGTTCATGGTCATGCTAGAAACAAAAAGCAAACTCAAGGATAGAGTGCAGGTAGTGACAGGATAAACCACAGCTTCCTCTCCACGGGTAAACAGATTCTCCTAACAAAGGTTTCACTCTGTGTAGACAAAAGAAACGCTGTTTGGGGAATCTAGTTAGGAAAAAAATCTGGTAAAAAGTAAAAGGTAAATAGGAACACATGCCATTCTTGAAAACTATTTTACTTATAAAGTGCAAAAATGCATAGGATGAGGTTATCTAGACTTCGGAATCCTGACGTCGATGAAATGGAACCTGTTGGAAATATAAATATGTATGGGTGGTGCTCAAGTTATTATTTTTGACTTCTAGCTGGTTTCATTAGCATTTCTTTTTCTAACTTTAAGAACTTGTAAGAGAAATTAAAGCACTAATTGAGTTGGGGGAAGAAAGGAAATAATTAGCATGTTGTCTGCTCACACATAGTGACTTGTTAACAAAGGAGTTGAAGATGTAAAGAATAAAGGAATTGGTGAAATGTTATTTCATTTTCAGGAAGACAGAAAATTCTTAATAAAATTAAAACACAGCGTAACATCAGTTGTTATATTTTGAGTACCTCATTAATAAAAGGATTAAGAAAACATCAAAAGCACAACAGACATGATCAAAGAGCCACGGGCACTGATGAAAAGATGAAAAGAACTCTATGGCAAAGAAAAATGATGAACCAGCATGCGTCTGCATCTATCAAACACAAATTAACAGAAAATAGCAGCACACTTTTTTATGACACAATTTCAATAGAATTAAATATTTTAATGAAATAAAAATCCTAATTCAGTTTAGCAGTGGAGATCAGTAACTGAGTCTCAGAAAAAGGGAAAGGAATGAATAAAAGAAGAAAAAAAAAGATGGCTTAGGTTTTACCCAAAGATAAACCACTTTAGGAGGTATTTTTAGATAAAGTGGAAAATGAAAAGTATTTAGGGTAAGAGCGATGCATATTGCAGAGGAATGGGAAGTGCAGGCAGTGTACTTTGTGCGGCTGGTGTGGGACAGGTGGCACCCGGAACCACTGTTCACAGAGGGCGACAGGAAGGGTCAGAGGTTCCGTAGGATTAGCCCCTGCACATGTGATCATTTGGCTTCTTTTAAAGCAGTGTGTGCATTCTTTGCTGCTTTATTTCTCCTGGTTGGAAGGGCTCTGCTCCCACTTCCTGGGGGTTTGCTTCAGCCCTGTTGCAGGGATGGACAGGTCACTTGGAGTGGCCAGTCAGGTTCTCCGTGTTCCTGGATGTGGCAGTGGATGGAGGGTGCAGAATTGAGCAGGACCACTTGGGGCCATTTTTGGGTTTGAGATGGAGGCCATCGGAGGTGTCTTTACTCTTCGTTCCTCAAGGCCATGAACTGTAAGAGCAATGTAACCCCAGAGGAGCTGGAAGCTATTTTCTCTGTCATTTACAGACACCCCACATGGGACAGAGCCTCAAGAAAAGAAAGCAGAGCTGAGGAAATGAGAGTCCTGATACCACTGGGACCTCCTAACCCTGGATACAAACAAGCCTCTTGTGTCATACACAGGATTTCTAATAACAGAGATATAATCCTAAAAATAAGATAGAAGGGTAAGAGAATATTAGCATGATGCTGTC
This sequence comes from Homo sapiens, assembly GCF_000001405.40. Taxonomy (NCBI): domain Eukaryota; kingdom Metazoa; phylum Chordata; class Mammalia; order Primates; family Hominidae; genus Homo; species Homo sapiens. The sequence goes on from NC_000008.11 coordinate 3,448,130, forward strand.
AATCCAAGTGAGGGATACAGGGAGCCTGAATTGGGGGAGTAGATAGTGAAGACAGAACAAATAAAAAGCCTGTCTGTGTTTCCTGATGGGGCCAACTCTCAAAAGGGAGAAGAGGATTGATCTCAAGACCATCCTTGGACAAAAGAGGGACACACATCTTTCTGAAACTGGTGGGAAGGAAGGAAGGAAGGAAGGGAGCAAGGGAGGGAGGGAGGGAGGAAGGAAGAAGGAAGAAGGGAGGAAGGGAGGGGGAGGAGGGAGGAGGAAGGGAAGGAAGGAAGGAAGGAAGGGAAGGAAGAAGGAGCAATGAAGATGACTGTGGAGGAGCAAAGAAGAGATGTTCTTGCTGTACAAAAAAGGTGACTTTTTCCCTGAAAACTTGGAGAGAGGCTGCTGTGGGTTTATTAATGAAGGTTTAAAGAAAAGTGAAGGTTTGTAGGAGTTGCTGTAAGTCCATGAGTACTAATAAAAGGACCACATGCCATGCAAAGGTGAGAGTGTGGGGCAAGGAGCGGGGCAGCATGAGTGGAGGCCAAGTGGGCATGACCCATGACCTTCAGGAACTGCAGCATCGAGAGTCCTCTAGGCTGAGCTCACTCCTGCACACCACAGAGGGATGCATTACAGAGAAAAGCTTTAGACACTTCAGGCAATAGTGAGTGACTTATTCTCAGTTATATGTCTAAATGACACAACTTCATGGATAATTGTCTCCACTCTCCACTAATTTTGGAAAACTTACGCAGGCATAATTCTATTCCAGAAGAAGCACCTCCCTATGTATGAATGAGCCACCTTCCCCCAAGAGTAAATGTAGGAAAGAAGGTGACAGCCAATCGCAATGGATGTAAACAATCACATATAAACAGAAATCAAACACGTATTAGTAGGAGGCAGAAAAGTTTACTTCAAAGGAAATGGGAAAGGATCACATGAAAACTTGTTGCCTGTCTTCCAATCCATGAGTTCTACACAGCACAAAGCAACATGCAAAGCACTTGTAATACACTTAATCTTTGAGTTTGCGTCTTGAAATTAGTTGGTGGGGGGAATCAGTTCTTAAATTATTTGCATCAAAATAGCATAAACCTGAAGAATTGTAGAGGGAAGTTAAAATTAAACAGGCTTATTCTGAAAAATATCTGAGAGACTAAACTCAGCTTCTTTGCTTTTAAAAATGTGAATCCAAATCAGCACAAACTCAATATAATCTTGTTTTCTCTACCCCTCTGTTATGTGACAATGTCTCATGGGTTGGCTTTGCCAAGTCAGAGGAAACCCCAGGCTCCCACCATGCCTAAGGATGTCCTGGACTCGGAAAGTGAATTTTTTCTTATGCTATATTTTCTCTGTGGTGAAGAACAAAATGAACATACCTCTCATGACAGCAATTTTTTTTTTTTTTAAGATGGAGTTTCTCTCTTGTTGCCCAGGCTGGAGTGCAATGGCACAATATTGGCTCACTGCAAACTCTGCCTCTTGGGTTCAAGCAATACTCCTGCCTCAGCCTCCCAAGTAGCTGAGATTACAGGTGACTGCAACCATGCCTGGCTAATTTTTGTATTTTTAGTAGAGACAGGGTTTCACCATGTTGGTCAGGCCTGTCTCAAACTCTTGACCTCAGGTGATCCTCCCACCTTGGCCTCCCAAAGTGCCAGCATTACAGGCATGAGCCACTGCACCTAGCCGAGAGCAACATTTATATCCATATAAATTCATGTAAAGTTTTAAGCCTCACGTTGTAAAGTTTCTAATTATTTCAGACATTTAAACATTAGGACATTTAAGAAAAACTATTGCTCCAGTCTTAAGACTCACACAGCTTGCCATAATCAAGCGTTTTAAAGTGGAAAAGCCAGACGGGAGAGAGGGTCACCAGCTCCTCCTCATCGATGTGGTCCTCAGGAGCCTCTCCTTCCCTGGTTGAGACACATACGAAATTCGGAAAATCATCTGGTTTGCTGACTGTTTCACTTTCATGTATGTGTCCTGCACATCAGGATTTGCTTCGATGACGAACGTTGACTGTGGGTCTCTTACACTCAGGCGGCCTCCAGCCTCTGATAAGATGGGCCTTAACATCTCCGTTGACCAACTGACTTCATGGTCTTTCTCTGTCATGACCTAATCAGGAGTTTCAGATCTTCCTACCCATACACATGGTTGCATACAAGCCTCTCCTATTTTTTTTTTTATTATGCTTTCAGTTTTAGGGTACATGTTCACAACGTGCAGGTTTGTTACATATGTATACATGTGCCATGTTGGTGTGCTGCACCCATTAACTCGTCATTTAGCATTAGGTATATCTCCTAAAGCTATCCCTCCCCCCTCCCCACACCCCACAACAGGCCCTGGTGTGTGATGTTCCCCTTCCTGTGTCCATGTGTTCTCATTGTTCAATTCCCACCTATCAATGAGAACATGCAGTGTTTGTTTTTTTTTTGTCTTTGTGATAGTTTCCTGAGAATCATGGTTTCCAGCTTCATCCATGTCCCTATAAAGGACATGAACTCATCATTTTTCATGGCTGCGTAGTATTCCATGGTGTATATGTGCCGCATTTTCTTAATCCAGTCTATCATTGTTGGACATTTGGGTTGGTTCCAAGTCTTTGCTATTGTGAATAGTGCCACAGTAAACATACGTGTGCATGTGTCTTTATAGCAGCATGATTTATAATCCTTTGGGTATATACCCAGTAATGGGATGGCTGGGTCAAATGGTAATTCTAGTTCTAGATCCCTGAGGAATCGCCACACTGACTTCCACAATGGTTGAACTAGTTTACAGTCTCACCAACAGTGTAAAAGTGTTCCTATTTCACCACATCCTCTCCAGCACCTGTTGTTTCCTGACTTTCTAATGACTGCCATTCTAACTGGTGTGAGATGGTGTCTCATTGTGGTTTTGATTTGCATTTCTCTGATGGCCAGTGATGACGAGCATTTTTTCACGTCTCTTTTGGCTGCATAAATGTCTTCTTTTGAGAAGTGTCTGTTCATATCCTTCGCCCACTTTTTGATGGGGTTGCTTGTTTTCTTCTTGTAAATTTGTTTGAGTTCATTGTAGATTCTGGATATTAGCCCTTTGTCAGATGAGTACATTGCAAAACATTTCTGCCACTCTGTAGGATGCCTGTTCACTCTGATGGTAGTTTCTTTTGCTGCACAGAAGCTCTTTAGTTTAATTAGATCCCATGTGTCAATTTTGGCTTTTGTTGCCATTGCTTTTGGTGTTTTAGACATGAAGTCCTTGCCCATGGCTATGTCCTGAATGGTATTGCCTAGGTGTTCTTCTAGGGTTTTTATGGTTTTAGGGCTAACATTTAAGTGTCCAATTCATCTTGAATTAATTTTTGTATAAGGTGTAAGGAAGGGATTCAGTTTCGTCTTTCTACATATAGCTAGCCAGTTTTCCCAGCACCATTTATTAAATAGGGAATCCTTTCCCCATTTCCTGTTTTTGTCAGGTTTGTCAAAGAGCAGATACTTGTAGATATATGGCATTATTTCTGAGGGCTCTGTTCTGTTCCATTGGTCTATATCTCTGTTTTGGAACCAGTACCATGCTGTTTTGGTTACGGTAGCCTTGTAATATAGTTTGAAGTCAGGTAGCATGACGCCTCCAGCTTTGTTCTTTTGGCTTAGGATTGACTTGTCGATGCGGGCTCTTTTTTGGTTCCATATGAACTTTAAAGTAGTTTTTTCCAATTACGTGAAGAAAGTCATTGGTAGCTTGATGGGGATGGCATTGAATCTATAAATTACCTTGGGCAGTATGGCCATTTTCACGACATTGATTCTTCCTACCCATGAACATGGAATGTTCTTCCATTTGTTTGTCTCCTCTTTTATTTCATTGAGCAGTGGTTTGTAGTTCTCCTCGAAGAGGTCCTTCACATCCCTTGTAAGTTGGATTCCTAGGTATTTTATTCTCTTTGAAGCAATTGTGAATGGGAGTTCACTCATGATTTGGCTCTCTGTTTGTCTGTTATTGTTTTATAAGAATGCTTGTGATTTTTGCACACTGATTTTGTATCCTGAGACTTTGCTAAAGTTGCTTATCAGCTTAAGGAGATTTTGGGCTGAGACAATGGGGTTTTCTAAATATACAATCATGTCATCTGGAAAAAGGGACAATTTGACTTCCTCTTTTCCTAATTGAATACCCTTTATTTCCTTCTCCTGCCTGATTGCCCTGGCCAGAACATCCAACTCTATGTTGAATAGCAGTGGTGAGAGAGGGCACTCCTGTCTTGTGCCAGTTTTGAAAGGGAATGCTTCCAGTTTTTGCCCCTTCAGTATGATATTGGCTGTGGGTTTGTCATAGATAGGTTTTATTATTTTGACATACATCCCATCAATACCTAATTTACTGAGAGTTTTTAGCATGAAGTGTTGTTGAATTTTGTCAAAGGCCTTTTCTGCATCTATTGAGATAATCATGTGGTTTTTGTCATTGGTTCTGTTTATATGCTGGATTATGTTAATTGATTTGGGTATGTTGAATCAGCCTTGCATCCCAGGGATGAAACCCACTTGATCATGGTGGATAAGGTTTTTGATGTGCTTCTTGATTTGGTGTGCCAGTATTTTATTGAGGATTTTTGCATCGATGTTCATCAGGGATATTGGTCTAAAATTCTCTTTTTTTGTTGTGTCTCTGCCAGGCTTTGGTATCAGGATGATGTTGGCCTCATAAAATGAGTTAGGGAGGATTCCCTCTTTTTCTATTGATTGGAATAGTTTCAGAAGGAATGGTACCAGCTCCTCCTTGTATCTCTGGTAGAATTCGGCTGTGAATCCATCCGTTTCTGGACTTTTTTTGGTTGGTAAGCTATTAATTATTGCCTCTATTTCAGAGCCTGTTATTGGTCTATTCAGAGATTCAACTTCTTCCTGGTTTAGTCTTGGGAGAGTGTATGTGTCGAGGAATTTATCCATTTCTTCTAGATTTTCTAGTTCTTTTGCATAGAGGTGGTTATAGTATTCTCTGATGGTAGTTTGTATTTCCATGGGATTGGTGGTGATATCCCCTTCATTTTTTATTGCTTCTATTTGATTCTTTTCTCTTTTCTTCTTTATAGTCTTGCTAGCAGTCTATCAATTTTGTTGATCTTTTCAAAAAACCAGCTCCTGGATTCATTTTTTTTGAAGGGTTTTTTGTGTCTCTATTTCGTTCACTTCTGCTCTGATCTTAGTTATTTCTCACCTTCTGCTGGCTTTTGAATGTGTTTGCTCTTGCTTCTCTGGTTTTTTTAATTGTGATGTTAGGATGTCAATTTTAGATCTTGCCTGCTTTCTCTTGTGGGCATTTAGTGCTATAAATTTCCCTCTACACACTGCTTTGAATGTGTCCCAGAGATTCTGGTATGTTGTGTCTTTGTTCTCATTGGTTTCAAAGAACATCTTTATTTCTACCTTCATTTCGTTATGTACCAAGTAGTCATTGAGGAGCAGGTTGTTCAGTTTCCATGTAACTGAGTAGTTTTGAGAGACTTTCTTAATCCTGAATTGTAGTTTTATTGCACTGTGGTCTGAGAGACAGTTTGTTATAATTTCTGTACTTTTACATTTGCTGAGGAGAGCTTTACTTACAACTATGTGGTCAATTTTGGAATAGGTGTGGTATGGTGCTGAAAAGAATATATATTCTATTGATTTGGGGGGGATAGTTCTGTAGATGTCTATTAGATCTGCTTGGTGCAGAGCTGACTTCAATTCCTGGATATCCTTGTTAACTTTCTGTCTTGTTGAAATGTCTGATGTTGACAGTAGGGTGTTAAAGTCTCCCATTATTATTGTGTGGGACTCTAAGTCTCTTTGTAGGTCTCTAAGGACTTGCTTTATGAATCTGGGTGCTCCTGTATTGGGTGCATATATATTTAGGATAGTTAGCTCTTCTTGTTGAATTGATCCCTTTACCATTATGTAATGGCCTTCTTTGTCTCTTTTGATCTTTGTTGGTTTAAAGTCTGTTTTATCAGAGACTAGGATTGCAACCCCTGCCTTTTTTTGTTTTCCATTTGCTTGGTAGATCTTTCTCCACCTCTTTATTTTGAGCCTATGTGTGTCTCTGCACGTTAGATGGGTCTCCTGAATATAGCACACTGATGGGTCTTGACTCTTTATCCAATTTGCCAGTCTGTGTCTTTTAATTGGAGCATTTGGCCCATTTACATTTAAGGTTAATATTGTTATGTGTGAATTTGATTCAGTTATTATGATGTTAGCTGGTTATTTTGCTTGTTAGTTGAGGCAGTTTCTTCCTAGCATCAATGGTCTTCACAATTTGGCATGTTTTTGCAGTGGCTGGTACCGGTTGTTCCTTTCCATGTTTTGTGCTTCCTTCAGGAGCTCTTTTAGGGCAGGACTGGTGGTGACAGAATCTCTCAGCATTTGCTTGTCTGTAAAGGATTTTATTTCTCCTTCACTTAAGAAACTTAGTTTGGCTGGATATGAAATTCTGGACTGAAACTTGTTTTCTTTAGGAATGTTGAATATTGGCCCCCACTCTCTTCTGGCTTGTAGAGTTTCTGCGGAGAGATCAGCTGTTAGTCTGATGGGCTTCCCCTTGTGGGTAACCCGACCTTTCTCTCTGCCTGCCCTTTAAATTTTTTCTTCATCTCTACTTTGCTGAATCTGACAATTATGTGTCTTTGAGTTGCTCTTCTCGAGGAGTATCTTTGTGGCATTCTCTGTATTTCCTGAATTTGAATGTTGGCCTGCCTGGCTAGATTGGGGAAGTTCTCCTGGATAACATCCTGCAGAGTGTTTTCCAACTTGGTTCCATTCTCCCCGTCACTTTCAGGTACACCAATCAGATGTAGATTTGGTCTTTTCACATAGTCCCATATTTCTTGGAGGCTTTGTTTGTTTCTTTTTATTCTTTTTTCTCTAAACTTCTCCTCTCGCTTCATTTCATTCATTTGATCTTCCATCACTGATACCCTTTCTTTCTATCGATCGAATCGGCTACTGAGGCTTGTGCATTCATCAGGTAGTTCTCCTGCCATGGTTTTCAGTTCCATTAGGTCCTTTAAGGACTTCTCTGCATTGGTTATTCTAGTTAGCCAGTCGTCTAATTTTTTTTCAAGGTTTTTAACTTCTTTGCCATGGGTTCAAACTTCCTCCTTTAGCTCGGAGTAGTGTGATCATCTGAAGCCTTCTTCTCTCAACTCATCAAAGTCATTCTCTGTCCAACGTTGCTCCATTGCTGGTGAGGAGCTGCTTTCCTTTGGAGGAGGAGAGGCACTCTGATTTTTAGAGTCTCCAGTTTTTCTGCTCTGTTTTTTCCCCATCTTTGTGGTTTTATCTTCCTTTGGTCTTTGATGATGGTGATGTACAGATGGGGTTTTGGTGTGGATGTCCTTTCTGTTTGTTAGTTTTCCTTCTAACAGTCAGGACCCTCAGCTGCAGGTCTGTTGGAATTTGCTGGAGGTCCACTCCAGACCTTGTGTGCCTGGGTATCAGCAGCAGAGGCTGCAGAACAGTGGATATTGCTGAACAGCAAATGCTGCTGCCTGATCCTTCCTCTGGAAATTTTGTCTCAGAGGAGTACCTGGCCATCTGAGGTGTCAGACTGCCCCTACTGGGGATGCGTCCCAGTTACGCTACTCAGGGGTCAGGGACCCACTTGAGGAGGCAGTCTGTCTGTTCTCAGATCTCAAGCTGCATGCTGGGAGAACCACTACTCTCTTCAAAGATGTCAGACAGGGACATTTAAGTCTGCAGAGGTTTCTGCTGTCTTTTGTTTGGCTATGCCCTGCCCCCAGAGGTGGAGTCTACAGAGGCAGGCAGGCCTCCTTGAGCTGAGGTGGGCTCCACCCAGTTCGAGCTTCCGGGCTGCTTTGTTTACCTACTCAAGCCTGGGCAATGGTGGGTGCCCCTCCCCCAGCCTCGCCGCCGCCTTGCTATTTGATCTGAGACTGCTGTCTCAGCAATGAGCAAGCCTTCATGGGCGTAGGACCCTCAAAGCCAGGTGCAGGATATAATCTCCTGGTGTGCCATTTGCTAAGACCTTTAGAAAAGCACAGTATTAGGGTGGGAGTGACCCAATTTTCCAGGTGCCGTCTGTCACCCCTTTCTTTGACTAGGAAAGGGAATTCCCTGACCGCTTGCTCTTCATAGGTGGGGCGATGCCTTGCCCTGCTTCAGCTCATGCTTTGTGTGCTGCACCCACTGTCCGACACTCCCCAGTGACATGAACGAGGTACCTCAGTTAGAAATGCAGAAATCACCCACCTTCTGCATCCCTCACGCTGGGAGCTGTAGACTGGAGCTGTTCCTCTTTGGCCATCTTGGCTCCACCCCTTACTCTCCTATTTTCTAATACAATTTAGAAAATGCATAACACTGAAGGCCTTGTGAATGATGTCACCATGTGCTTTGTGGTTATCTAAGTTGGCGCAGTTTTTCACTTAGCATCATTGCATTACTTCCTACTATGCCAAAACCTAGTTGCGTTCTCTCCTATCCTATTTAGCATTGAAATAGTCCTAGTGGACGTGTTTCAGTATCAGAGGTGGCAATCACATCTTCAGCTTGCTAATCATTCCAGGAATGAGCTTCCCATAAAGACGAAATATTTGGAGCTGTTGATTTCTCTCTTTCAGAAGTGGGAGGAAAGCCTGCAGATGACCCATCCCCATTGCCCATTATAGATGAGGCTACTAAAGGCCAGGGGTATTCAGAACAAACTGGATGCAGAACTGAAACCCGAGCCCAGGTCTCTTGGCTAAGCTCTAGCACTGCACTATCCTGCCCCCCTTGTATTCTACACTTCATGCTGGAGCCCTCCTGCTGCACTGTCTCACCCTACACACCCTCATCCTGCACTTCCTCATCCCATAGCCCCTCATTTTGTACTCCTTCCCTTGCACATCTCATCCTGGACCCCTTCACCTGTACCCCTCATTCTGTACTCCTCACCTGTATCCCTCATTCTGCACCTCTCTTCCTGGACCCCTCCCTCTGAATCCCTCACCCAGGCCTCTCCTCCCGTACTCGTCACTGAACACCTCATCCTGTACCTCTCTTCCTGGACTCCTCATCGTGGACTCCTAACCTGGACCCCCTCATCCTGCCCTCCTCACTGCACCTCTCATCCTGGACTCGTGAACCTGTTTCCCTTGCCCTGTACCCCTCATCTTCACCCCTCATCCTACACTCCCTGACCTTCAGCTCACATCACAACCTTTTTGCCAAAGTCTGAAGCTGCCTAACTTCTTCAGTTTCTCTCATTCTCAGTCTCAGATGGCACAAACTTTCTTTCTGCTCACTCCCTTTCCCAAGAGAAAAGCAGAAGAAACGGAGCTCCACATGCTCACATGTTAAAGCAAGAGGTGATCTAAAAGAAACGCATTGGAGCTGAGTCATCAAAACCGCATGCCACGCCTGGCCGTTCCTGGCTTAGAGGCAAGAGGATATGTACGCGGTTTAAAAAACACAGGATGAATTTCAAGAATAGAATAGTCCCATCTATAACTTTTAAATCAGTAATGCAAAATATCATCCATTTCTAAGACAACACAATTCAGAAATTTTAACAAAGACTCTTGTTGAGATCATAAAAACTCGTAAAGGAAACAGAAATACCAAAGAAAAATAATAAAGGTAATGAGAAAATTGAAAGCAACAAATTCCAATTGAAAGGAAAAAACCTGTTTGTAAAAGTGGGTCCTTGTTGTATCCGATGCAGGGATCCCAGTGGTAAAGATGTGGGAGAATGTTATCACATTCACACACTCATGGAACACATGAGAAATGAGGAAGGCAGCCATATGGCTGGAAAAAAATAGGAAGCTCATTCCAATTACAGAGCCTAAAATATCACCTAGAAGTACACCTTGTTAATTTCACAAGCTCTTTCATAATTCGCAAATATCATTATCAGAACTTTCATTCTTACCTGAGACTAAAATACAGATTGGAGAACGTCTCCCAGGAAGTTTGCTCTAACGTGAGCCCCGCAGCGCTTAACCTCCGTGTCATTTCCACTACATCTTATCTCAGTTTACTTTGACATGTAATCTGTGAGGATACATGTTGGGAAGGGAGAGTGCAATGTAGCTGGAGCTAACGGGCCACTAACACTGGAATTTAAATGTCAAATTTCTGCGTTAGAATTTAATGTTCTCCGGCACCACCTGCTCTCCTGGCTCATATGTGCTGATATATTTAAATATTTAATAATGGCTTATCTCACATTATTAAGAGGAATCTGTGCTTATAATTCATTCATGCAATATAACTCAGAAAAAAATGGAAATCAAGAGTCAATGGGTCTTCTGATATTTTTCTTAAAGTTAAGACTGTCCTGAATGTCAGCATATCTTCATACAAACTCTCCAACCCTGTCAACAAAAAAGGGTGATGACTGGAAACTCAATATCTTTCTAATATATAGTTTGTTGTTATTACTTGTTTGTTTTAATATCGTTTCAGTAAAATCCTATGTTCATCTTATTCGTCTTGCGTTAAGACAACGGAACGCTAGTTGGCCTAGCTGGTAATTCACCTAAAGAAAACAATAGCAACAATGAACACATATAATCTATTAATTTCAGCTTCAAACACTTAATTATTAATATATTTGGTTTGTAAATGGCTCTTAATATCTTTGGTTACTAAATGGCTCACCAAGATGAAGACATTGTGTGCTCTGCAATGGTCTGGAGAAACAGGATTGAATAAAATGGGGCTCTTTCTCAAGGACTCGAGGACACACAAAACACTCTAGGAAAACTGTTACCTTAGCTAAAAAGGAGCTGCTGCTGGTAGCCACAGGGAAACATTGGAAGGAATTTCCATCCCAGTGAGCTGTCCAGGAGAGAGGTGCAGCTCTCAAGCTGGGCCTTGGGGAAGGGAAGGGTTGTTTCCTACCCGCAAGGGTAGGAAGGACCCGCCCGGAGAGAAGGGAAGCGGCATGAGCGCCAGTGTGGGGGAGAACGATGGATGGGCACAGGATGGCAAGCACACAGCATGCTACACTGTGCTACAGCACCCTGTGGCTCTTGAGAGGACACGTGATCTGGAAGAGGGGCAGAAATTCAGTGACTTGCTCTGTGGTGGCTGCACCGTGGTGGGGCACACGGGAGCCACAGGTGCACGAAGAGGCTGACTCATGGACCAGAGTGAGCAGGGTGAGGCGAGGAGAGACAGGCCGGTGTGTCCCTCACCCTGCTGGCTGACGTGGGGCACAGGGTACACAACACAGCGGCCGTAATATGACGGGAATCGCACGGTGGATCCTTCTCATACAACTTCCTTGCAATGCAGCACCAGTGCCACAGGAATATGCACTTTTAAGCCCACCCTGACCTGAATCTCCGTCTATGAAGACCCCTGGGTGATCTCCACGCATGCGGCAGTCGGAGACACGGATGAGAGCAGAGAACATGATAAATGCAGGTACATGGGAGATCTGTGCAGAAATGCATCCCTTTGCCAACAGGGGAATTCAACCAATAGCAGCAGAGCACCCACCACTGAAGGGTAACTCCCGGACGGTCCAGGGGAGGTGGACTCAGAGAACCAGAGAGGGCACCGGATATACTTCAGGAATTGGGTTCCGAAAGGTCATCATTCAGGGACCCAAGCACTCAAGAATGAGGCTGCCGGCACATGAACAGATTTGGGTCCAGGAATCAGAGCAGCATCAACAACCAGAAACAGTCTGTGTTGACTCATTGGCTACTGGGCTATAATTCCTCAAACGTATAAAAACTCAACTAAGACTTAAAAAAAAACTGGAGTGGTCCTAAGATTATTGATAAGGGTTAAATGGCCCATGATAATGCTACAAAAATCTAAACAGTCCAGAAACTGGCTAAGACACTCACTCACATTTTGCACATCTCTAAGGATGCAGCTATACAACCTGCAGCTTCTGCACAGCTGCACAGGTGTGGGGCATAAAGAGGTCCTTGCATTCCCAGAGCTTCTGTCTCCTGGGAAGAAAGGCAATTAAACAATTGTTGGGATGGAGGCAGCTCAGGGTGGTATAGGATTGTGTAGCAGCAAATCACATAATCTAGGATGTGAGGCTTATTGGGGAAAGTAAACTCTGAGATGAGACGGGAAGATCAGCAAATGATCTACATGGTGAGTCCATAGAAGAATGATCCTTGTTGGGGAGATACGTGTGCAAAGGTAAAAGAGAGGAAAAAAGGAAGATTTGAAGATCAGGAAGTTCCATGGGACAAACATCAAGTGTATGTGAGTGGTGGTGAGAGATGAAGATGGAATCTGGAAACCACTTTACAGAATATTCTGTGGACCCTGGGAAGGCTCCAACCAATTTGAAACAGTGTAGGAACACTCTCTATGTTCATTTTTTTAAAAAAGATAATTCTGACTGGACCCCTGTGTGTGAGCAAAATAGAAGAGTTTAGTAGCGGGGAGAAATGAAGTTTCGACCACTACAGAGGCCGCCTAGAGGGGACACTGTGGAAGCCGACTAAGGGTAAGAGAATGAAGATAAACAGGAGGGATGGGATAGAAGGATATTTACTAGACGGAACTGACCGAAATTCGTGGAGAAAAAGAGAACAGGATCATAAACCACCAATGTCGCTAAGAAGAAATAACACAAAAACAATAATTATAAATCTGTTGTCCAAATTCTCAAAGAATATAGGGAGATTATTTTCCCCGGCTGCTAGACAATGATGCCGCACTCTGGGTAAGAACAGACAATGCTGTGATGTGAGTCCCAGGTCAGGAAGCTTGTTCTAGAAGCAAAGAGCTAAGCACCAGGAAGGCAGACATGACCACTTGTGGTCCCAAGAATAGAAGGGCTAGTTTTGTTTCAAGGGATGTGGAGGGCAGTAACAATAAGTTTGTTCTTTAGCATATTAAATGGAATGGCAGTCCTCAGGAAAGCCCGTTGAGAGGATATTTGAATTTACAGCACATGAGTTCATGTGACACGACTCTTTCCCTTGCATGGGCCTCACCGCAGACTCAGGTCCCACCATCAGATGCGGCCCTCATCGCTCTGCGGAACTGAGGCTGCTAGAGAGGGCTCATAGCTGCACACCTCTCAGGGAAGTGCTCAAACAAAGGCCTTAATTTAGAATAAAGAAGAAGATGCAAGGGCTACTGACCCCGAGACCTGGCATTCCTGCCACAGACTGCAAGTCCAGAAGGCTTTTGCTGGATAGAATGAGGGAATGCGCTTCTGAAGGCATGGCTGAGGAGCCAGCTTGGAGAGTATGCTGGGAAGGATGTGCTGCTGTCCTCTGGATGTGGTCTTCACCCTAAATCCACGGCCATAATGCTGTGTCAGTCCCCAGAGGCTGGAATACATGGGGCCAGGAACTGAGGAGGGGAAGCAGGAGTAGCTGTCTCACCTCCACCCCAGGAGCTGATTGAGATCTCTGCTCCCCGATCTCTCAAATTAGGCAATGTGGTTGTAGAGAACCTGCTTCTCAGAGGGGAGCTGTCTCCATCAGCAGGAAGAGGAAGGGCCCCATGAAACTGTAAGCTATCCCTGTGGCCCAGCATCTTCCAGATCCTCATGCCCAAGGCCTCACCAGTAATGGAAGCAGCCATCATCCTTGCAGGAGGACTGGCCCTAATCAGGAGAAAAAGCTGGGGCCATTGTCCCCAATGAGACAATACAGATGAGTGGGACGATTTATCCATGGGGACTCTCTTACGTGTGATAGAACACGGACAAGTCTAGCAGCCACACCTGAGCAGTGCACTGTGAGCAGAGACCGAGGCCCTGTGAGGACTTGGGTCAGCATCGCCCTGCTGCAGAAGCCAACTAGCCCAGCTGAGAGGCCAGCTAAGGAGGCAGATCCTCACATGGGCCGGACAGGAGGGTGGCGGTGAGGTGAGTGTGTGTTACACGTGTTCCTAGGAAACGAGGCCAGTCAGAATCCTAGAGAAGCTGTTTCCAGATGGAGAATACTGACCAGTGCTAGTGCTGGGCTGTATTTGATCCCAAGGGCACCATTTGGGTGCTCTCTTCAGAATCCAGGCCCCCCCCCCCACCTCCCAGCTGCTCGGGACCCACACTGCATTTCTTTTCAGGAATCATCCCAAGCAGTGTTCTGGTCCCTCCCTGGGGGCCACCCATGTCAATGGTCAATGGCACCAAGCCTGGCCCAATTGCTTCAGTTTGGAAGACTATACAGTGCCATCCTAGCTCCAGACCTCCCTGTAGCATCATTTAAGGCAAGGGTTCCCAACCCCCAGGCCAGGGACCAGTACTCGTCCATGGCCTGCTAGGAACTGGGCCACACAGCAGGAGGTGAGCAGCAGGCAACGGAGCATTACCACCTGAGCTCTGCCTCCCAGCAGATCAGCAGCAACATTACATTCTCCTAGGAGTGTGAACCCTATTGTGAACTGCACATGCGAGGGATCTAGGCTGCATGCCCTTTATGAGAATCTAATACCTGATGATCTGTCACTGTCTCCCATCACCCAGATGGGACTGTCTAGTTGCAGGAAAACAAGCTCAGGGCTCCCAATGATTCTACATTATGGAGAGTTGTATAATTATTTTATTACACATTACATTGTAATAATAGAAATAAAGTGCACAGTAAATGCAATGCACTTCAGTCACCCTGAAATCATCACCTCTCCCAGTCCATGGAAAAACTGTCTACCTTAAAACCGGTCCCTTGTGCCAAAAAGGCTGGGGACTCTTATCTAAGAACCTGATGTGGTCTGACTGTTTGTGTCCCTCCAAATTCCTAAGTTGAAACCTAACCTCAAATTTGATGGTTTTCAGAGATGGGCCAGCCTTTAGAGCGTGATGACATGATGAGGGTGGAGCCCCTGTGAACAGGATTAGTGCCCTTGTGAAGGATGTCCAGGCTTGTGGCCTTGCGCTGTCCACCACGTGAGGACACAGTGAGAAGGCGCCATCTATGAACCAGGAAACGGTCCTCACCAGACACCAAATCTGCCACTGCCTTGATCGTGGACTTCCCAGAACTGTGAGAGATACAATTCCATTGTCGCCAAGCCAACTCTATCTCCATATTCTGTTACGGCAACCTGAATGAACTAACTGTGCACCTGTCGTGACTGGGCACTGTTCAACCTCTCCCTCCACCCAACTCCACTTCCTTCTCTGCCTTACAGACGATTCCAAGCACACTCCCAATACCTCCTGCTACACAAGTCACCAACTCAGGCTCTGCTTCCAAGAAAAAGGATAATTTGTCATAGACTTAAGTCAAGCCCTTGGAAAAAAATGTTAAATCCACCTTAGATATAAGGCTGTATGTGCTGTGAAAAAGGAGGTACACATTATAAACGCTTTGTGACAGTCAACTGAGCATTCCCACAACATGTAAACAAAAGGTTATTTGAAGCCACGTCCTGCAGCTTCACCTTCTCTTTAGGGTTTTAGAAGTCACTACTATTCTGGCAGGCACTGTCTTGTCTGACTATGAATAGCGTATTGGCTTCATGCTCACAAGGACAGGGGCATGAGCTCACTTTCTACAAGGACCAGTGAGCTGTCCTCGGTTCAGGGACAGCACCCTGTGCCGTCATTGCACTTGGACGCTGTTCAATGTGCATAATTGCTCACCTAGAGAAGACGGGCGAGACTGGGCTGGGTAACTCATGCCAGTACAACCACGCAAGACGAGAAGCACCTTCAAGATTACATAACATCAATGCTGTCTCAAAAGTTCCGTCTGCCAAGAATGGTAAAGATGCTGGTTTTTGAACCATCTCCTACATTCCTGTATTCAGTACAACACACAGCCTCACTTCCCCCATACACCCTAGGAGCACAGACCCTTGGCCACAGACTGAGATGCCTACACAAATTTCCATTCTCTTATTATCACTGTATTCATCGGACGAAGGAGACAATTCCGTTTCTTGTATGAAATGGTGATGCTGAAGTCAAATAATTTTACTGGAATCACTCTTAGTATTAGCCCAAAATAGGTCTTGTTTTGACTATACAGCAGCACATCACAGGAAACAGTTCCTTTAATTCACCCCCTGCTGGAATGTAAATAGCTACGGCAAATTACATGAAACATGATTTCTGGAGATGCAGTTCATCAACTAGTGTGATGAACTCGAACCGAATTTTTTTTTGTAACCAAAAATGCTTCAGAGTCAACTCACTTTACTATAGACAGAGAAGCCATAAAAACGTGGGACCACTACAATAGCAAACATGTAATTGCTTATAAAAATATCCAGGGATCAAGTTTGCTTCTTGTTAACTTCCTCATGGCTAGAAGCTGCAGTGGTTATGAGGGAACCCAACTTTCAATTGAGCATAGGGATTTTTCTTTATTTTCTGTGGACTAACAATCAGTTGCTATGAGATATATATTTTATTTTCAAATATAAAATGGAGAAACTATGCCCCGGACTCACATTATCTTTTCTTATATAGTATTCTGAGATTTACTATTTATATGGATTCTATCTATTATAAATATGATTTATAAATATATAAATAAATGATTTTTAAGTATATAAATTATACAATTATATATAGGTAGAATCTATATATATAGCAAATTTATATATAAATTGTATATGTAAAATTTGTTTTAAAAATATATACTAGTCATATAGAGTTTGCTTATGAATGGTCAGTGTTGCTTTATATGGCTCTATCATAATTAATTTACATCCTGCTTCTTAGCATTTGGGCTTTTGAACAGATTATTTTTAATTCAGTATTTTCATTTGTAAAATGGTTTTAAACAAAGCTTACCTCTCTCCCATTACTTTCTGACACTTAACATGATCTCCCTCAAGAGCTCTCTTTGTTTTTTAAACTTTGCATTTTTTTCCCCATAATTTGCTTAGGGGAAATTATCAATTCACACTCTCTCTCTCTCGTTCTGTGTATAATAGCTATAGATAATACACATGCTCATAAGTATGAACAGGCTTATATACTAGGGAATATGTATAACACATACTGTATAACATACACATGCCAACTGAAGTCTAGCAAGAGCGTTTGTTTCTGTGAATTGTTCTTCTGTGTTTGCTGCTGGGGCCTCACCAGCAGGGATCCCTGTTGTTTTTCAGTCTCTGAGCTCCTCCCTGCCTATCCTCCACTCACTGTGATTTTCAGGGGATGCACAGGCCCTGGTTTTCATTTCTCCACCCTACTTGCTTTCTGAAAAATGCTCCTAAAAGGGTCCATTAACTGAGTAGACCCTCCAGGCATCTTGAGGGGATGGAGGAGAGAGGATTGTCTTTGGGGAGTTAGAGACAGCACAAATGGAGAAATCTCACATATGCCCAAGCCTACGAGCCCGGGAATGATGGAGGCCACAGGTGGGTAGAGTGGACCCAAGGTCCTCCTGGTCCACGTGTCCTGAGGCAGCCCCCTCACCATTACTGTGTGTGCTGGCAGGGGGTAGTGGGGGTGCCAGGAAAGCATCCTCCAGGGAGATTTTCTCAGAGACAACAGTGCCCAAGGTAGCAGAGACCGTGAACATCTTAGGGTTAGAAGTGTGATCCGAAGATTTGAGGGTCCCCGAAATATTTTACACTACTCAGGCTATTCCTGATTTCTTGTCAAGGTTGGAGTAGGTAGGTCAGTAAGGGTTGACATGGGTGGCCTTTGGTAATGAGTGAGGTTACAATGATAGCTACTTTCTTAGGATGGAGTCTCAGAAATTCAAGTCGATGTTAAAATAAGATGATGTGGCATTTCTTGCATAGCAGTTTGTCTAGGGTTTGTAGTCTGAGGGACTGACTGTGACTCCAGGTATGAGAGGGCACACACTGAAAATTTCTGGGGAAACTATGAGAAAATGTCGAGAGCTGTTGCCTCAGAGGAAGTTAACTGGCTCAGCTAGAAGCTGGAGAGAAGGGGTGCTTACAATTCATCTAAACACCCCTCAGTTGGGTTTACATGTCTTACTGTGCACACTATTATTTATATAATGAAAACATCATGTTTGTAGAAAAAATCTCAAAATTAAAATGAAAATGCAAACAGAAATAAGAGCTCGCATTTCTTAAGTTCTTACTCCATGTGTTATGAGCCTTACATGTTTTACTCAGTTGATTTTTCAATAAAATTATGAAGCAGTTGTGATTACTAGGACTTTTTTTTTTAATGACGAGTCTGATACACAAAGGGTTTAAATAACTTACACTAAGGTTCAGTTACTGGGCAGCAGAACCAGTATTCAGGGGAGTACAGCTCCAGAGCCTGTGTTCCTAACACTAGATGTTAGTGAAAATCAGGCAACATCAAAACGTAGAACATTTAACTCTATGTGAATATATGCTGTATATATTTTCTGATAATTTTTTTTTCTTTTTTTAAGATGGAGTCTCACTCTGTTGCCTAGGCTGGAGTGCAGTGGCACGATCTTGGCTCACTGCAAGCTCCACTACCCGGGTTCAAGCGATTCTTCTGCCCCAGCCTCCTGTGTATCTGGGATTACAGGTACCCACCCTCCACAATCAGCTAATTTTTTTTTTTTTTTTTTTTTTGTATTCTGAGGAGAGATAGGGGTTTCACCATGTTGGCCAGGCTGGTCTGGAACTCCTGACCTTAAGTGATCCGCCTGCCTTGGTCTCCCAAAGCACTATGATTAAAGGTGTCAGCCCCCCTGCCCGGGCTGTTTTCTGATAATATAATTTATGAATAACTTTGCTTTGAGTCAAATAATATAAAATTATGTATACGCATAAAGGTCACTTTTATAAGTGATTTGCACTTTGTCTTCAACTGTTAGCTTAATATAGTACTCTGGAAATATGCATTTTTAGAATGTCTTCTACTGTTATAATCTCTTAATTTTTTAAAATCCTCAAATGTTGTATTGGTTAATGGTTTTAATTACCTTTTTGCCTTTGGACTATTCTTTTGTCAAAGATAACACATGACATTGAATTGGCCATCTCTCAAGGACTGATGGCCATTCACGTTTTTATGACATCTCATGAAAAGCCATCTCAGGGTGGCTACTGAGACTCTTACCACAGCACTAATTAGGGTAAAATGTAATTATAATTAATGTGGTGTGGTCATTCACTGTGAAATATGACACATAGAAGAATGTTTACCTTTTATTGGGACTACTTATGTCTCTTCATAGTCAAGGATGCAGTTTGGGCACGAGGTTCCTCTCCTATTCCTGGTACCATAAACCTCATGATGTGTATCTCAATGCTGCTGAGATGAATTTACTGCAATTTGCCCTGTTGGGAAGTGTCTGGTATTTCACTGATGATTTCAGATTCTACCAAAGGCAGCAGCAAATGCAGGTCATGTGGAAAATATGATATCTCCACCATACTTTCCTGAATAACTGCACAGTCACATAAAAGTTCAATTGAAGGTCAGGTCTAAAAATTCAAACGTCAGGAGGTATTCAGCAGTTGCCTCTGCATTCTAGTTTTAGTCATTGAAAGGGATGTAAATATACATTTTTTGTCGTAGTATTTCTTATTCACAAGGGTCATTAAGTCCCCAACACACCCCGTGTGTCAGCAAGGAGGGACCCTATTTTATGCTTTGTAGATGAGGATACTCCGGGGTGGGCCCACACACCAAGAGACCCTTTAATATTGTGACCCTTTATCCCACACAGAGAGAGAGAGCAGCCAAGGTGTGGCGTGTTCACTCACATGGACTCATGACAATGTCCCTTACCATGCTTGTTGATTTAGGATTGGTGGATGCTTTTTTATTATCTCCTTCATTGATTTCATGGGTAATAACTTCTTGTTACATTTTTCAGCTCCTAAAACTATTCCTATGGTATACACTTGGGAAATAAGAACATACTGCCTATTTACTCAAATTCAAAAAGTAGAATAAAATACAGTTCCAACAGCTCCAGATAAATATTCTCATTTTTACCTAAACACATACACATCTATCGGTTCAAATACTTTAAGGAACTCAGTTACCAATGAAGGAACCAATAAGATATTTTAAAAACTATTTCAAAGGAGAATCCAAAGATCACAACTATATAGACAATCAGAAATACTGAAATAAACTTGCTAATCCATTTAAAAGTAATCAATATCCACAGGACAATAATTAATGGGATCTTTTTCACAGGAAATTCATTTGCATTTCAATGGTTCAGAAATTGTTTGCATTGCTATCAGTTTTCTATAACTTGTAAAGTTGTAAACTAGCTCAAAAACAATGACAGGCACAGGGCTTTCATTTCAAATATTTGAATTTGGCTCATAAAAATTTATAATTGTAAGTATTTTCAGATTCACTATATTGTCTTTTCTATGTTTGCTCACATAAAAGAAGGTTTTCAGAGACACCAGCCAATATGATATGGTCAAAAGATCCCCACATATGCCCACACTTCCTAGCTTACACCTAATACTTCACCTCACTCTTTATTTTGGGATAATCAGAGCACATATCATGGCAAGCCGAGTTTTCAGAAGTTAAACATTCTCATTCACGAAAGCGAGTGTTAGTAGACTTTAAGGAAGTTCCCGTCATGATTCCTATTTATCAGCATTGTTTGACTTGTTGATTTTACTTCTACCTAACCAACACAGAATGCTCTCTGCCCTCTCTTGGAATGCTAACTTCCAACCCTGTGAAGTGTAATCTCATCATACCTTGGTAAACAGCTTTAAACCCAGGTGAGCCAATGCTATCATCCGACTGCAGATGTAGCCACATCTGGTTGCTCATGCTCACAATGAGGTCAGGAACACTGGATCCCGTGAGCCTGCAAGAAAGAGAAATGTCAAAGCTTTTAGGTAAGGCAACAAGTACATCGACTTCCACCTGAAAGGAGGGTCTTGCTGCTTTAAACAGCCAAACCCTAGATATATAGGTAGCAAGACCCTCTTTCAAAGACTGTACAGCCTCTGGTCCATTATATTAATATTCAAACATCACTATCACTGGTGCTTTACAGAAATTACTCTATTCTATGGCTGCCAATTCGTGAATTTTCTTTTAAAAAATCAATTTAGGGCAATCAACCATCCCATTTTCCTGGAACCGAGAGGCTTCCCCAGGTGCAGGAATTACAATGTTACAACTGGGACAGTCCTGGAAAAAATATGGCACAGTTGTTCATGTGAGGTGACTAGAGATGTGCACAGTTGCTGTAGGATTGCACAACACCAGCCATGAAAGACAAAGCATCTCTATCACAACAAATTGTATGGGTTCATTCACAAAAGGTTTTCATTGTCTAGAACTAGTATGTAACTTTATCACAAACTCTCCTTTTAAAATATATTATAGGTAATTATACATTAAGAGAATTTTGAAAAGAACAACATGCATAGCTGAAATAGATTTGGCAGCATTTATTGAACACTCCCCCCGCATATTAATGTCTGGGTCACACCAAATGTGAGTTTCAATGAAGCATTCATTGTGCATTAACAAAACAGTCACATAGGGGCTGCTGTCAGCCAGTGAAAAGAAACACTAAATCCATTGATTGAACTCAACATGCTGACAGAAAAGCATGTTGAAATAGAAAAAGTGTAAGAAGAAAATCAATTCAACCAAAACAAATGTCCCTAATCAAATAGGAAGCTTGACTTTCAGCAAAGTAGTTTCAGGAATATGAGCATATGATTTGCCCCATCAATCATATCATCTGTCTATCAACCCTACATCCTCACCTTAGGCAGTACAGAGCACCGGATTCTTCAAAGGAAGAAGAACAACTGTCATTATATGTGAAGTAACTCATGCAATGTTACACACAAATTGAAAAGAGGAAACTATTTCTGTGAATGCTGTGTGGTTAACTAAATATGTATTTCTTTCTGAAGATTTGTCTTCGTTGGCAACATTGTTCTTTTTCATTTGCTTGTTTTGTTGGCTTGTTTGAAGAGAGATTTTTTTCTTTCTTTCTTATTCATACATTTATTGAAGTGTAACAAGCCAAAAAGCGCACAGATCGTGAATGTCTAACTCTATGAATTTTTACAAAGTGAACCGCCACACAGATCAACACTTAGACAATTACCAACACCCCAAAGCCTTCTTGTACCTTCTCCCAGTCACCATCCTCTCCTCCCATCTTGCCAAACTATCAGTTTTACATCTTCTTTAAAGTTTTTTTGTAAATGAAATCATACTATATATAACATTTTGTTCAACATGATTTTGGTGAAATGTATTCATGTTATTGTTTGTAGTATTGTTTCATTTACTTCAATTTCTACATAGAATTTATAGTGTATAAACACAAGTAGGGGATGATTAACATTTCTAAATTCTTGAAATTTTTATTAAGATAATTGTGGATACACATGTGGTAGGTAGTACAAAATAATATAAAGAGATTACATGTATTATTTACCTAGTTTCCCCGAGTGGTAACATCTTGCAAAACTATAACAATCAGGACATTGACATGGATACAACCTACCAGCCTCGTTAAAACTTTCCCTGTTTTATTCGTATTTTGTATGTACATTTGTGCATGTAGCTCTGCACAAATACGTCACATGTCTCGGCTCCTGAATCCACCGCCATAGTCAATGCAGGGCAGCTCCATTCCTTCCAAATTCTCTGGTGCTCTTCCCTTAAAATCACACTCATGCCCCTCTTGCTACACCCCCTTCACTGTCCCTAACCCCTGGCAACCACTAATCAGTATCCATCTCTAAATTATTTATTTAAAAAAATCATACAAATGAAATCACAGTGTTTAACAACCTGGGATTGGATTTTACTTAGCTTAATTCCTGGAAGATTTATCCCAGTTGTTGTTTATACCAATAGTTTGTTCCCTTTTATCGCTGGGTAGTATGTCATGTTGTGGATATACCACAGCTTGCTTAATTAACCACCTGGTAAAGGGTATTTGGACTGATACTAGTTTTGGCAGATGACACCTAAAGCTGCTTTGAATATGTGTGTGCAGGTTTCTGTGTGAGCATAAATCTTCATTTACCTGAGATAAAAGCGCAAGAGGGCAATAGCTGCATTGTGAAATCATGTTGAGTATTTAAAGAAACTACCAAATTTTTCCCCAGACTGTTTGTACATTCCCACCAGCAGTGTGTGAGCACCCCAGATTCTTTGTATTCTCAATAGGCATTCGGTGTTGTCGGCATTTTTCCACACTTTAACAGCTACGTGCATTTAACTAATGGGTAATGATGTACAACATTGTCTCATGGGTTTATTTGCCATTTATACGTCTTCTTGAATGAGAGGTCTCTCTTTTCCTCCTTTTAAATACTGAAAACTCTCTTGATATATTGTAGTACAGATACCAGTCCTTGTCAGAAATTAGCAGTTTTGATTTAAATATAGTCAATTTTGGTTCCACATGCAATTACAACAAATTATATTCCATAAGTATTAGTTGCAGGGCTTTCTATATATCAAGTTTGGAATCTGGCTTAGTTCCTTCCTTCTTTCCTTCCTTCCTTCATTCCTTCCTTCCTTCGTTCCTTCCTTCCTTCATCCCTCCCTCCTCTCCCTCCCTCCTTCCTTCTTCCTCTCTCCTTCCTTCCCTCCCTCCTTCTTCCTCTCTCCTTCCTTCCCTCCCTCTCTCCCTCCCTTCTTCCTCTCTCCTTCCTTCCTTTCCCTCCCTCCCTCCCTTCCTTCCTTCCTTCTTCCTTTCTTCTTTCCTTCCTTCCTTCCTTGCTTTCTGTTATCATTCCCTAAGATAAGTGAATATATAAAAGAAAAATATGTATCTTAAGTCAAATTCATGGTTTTGGGTAGAAGAAGGAAGAGGAAAGTAAACATACTGTTTTAATATTACACAGTTAAAGAAGAATGTGGGCATAGCCGTTAGTTTTTCCCTACATGTTAATACACACATGGCACTTGGTTCACATGCAAAACGAGTCGAGGAGAGTGTTTTCCCTTCTCCCTTTGGGATTACAGGTGATGTCAGCACCCTACTCATCTGTGTTCCCCACTTTACACCCCTTTCACTTTGAGACTTATGCCACCATGCAACATGACTCTACTGCTGTCCATCATCGTCCTCTCCCTTCGTGTAGCCCCTGGCTTGTTGTCATTGCTCCCTGTGGGCAATCTGATAATGCTTGTAAAGTGACTCAAGGGTTCTTGGCTCTTTTAACCCAATAACTTTTCTCTCCACTCTACTGCAAGGTATAACATCAAGGTGCAAGGTATGAAATCACTGGTCATACCTTGCACCTTCCTACTCTTTATCATAACAAACTTAAGCACCTAACCCCTCTTGCTGACCACACTGCAACATCTTTTAACTATTGTAAGTGTGTACTTTCTGAAACACACTTCCCAATTCTTGGGGACCTCTACTAATGATTTTGTCACATTTTTACCCAGCCTGGACAACATGATTGGTACTCTGCTATTCTGTCTTTCCAGCACCTTAACTGTGTTAAAGTCTACTACCAATCTGTCCCATCTCTGACAAAACTCCAACTTGAGATCAATCCAACCATCCACTCTCTATCTTCCTGTATGTGTGCACAAGAAAGATGATGAAGAACTTGCTGATTTATACTGACATATATATATATAAAATTTCCAGACTCACACTAGACACATGGTGCCACATTTTTTTCCTGAATTATAGTCAGTGTATTTTTCCTATTGCCATTTGTTATTGCCCTAAGTCGTCATCATTTTTCTCAAGCCCATTCCCAGCCCTTATTTCTTCTGTTCTCAGCAGATAACTTTACTCATAAGTATAAGGGGGAAAACATTTAGGGCAGTCAAAACATGAAATACCTGCCTCTTAAAATCTCCTAAGTTTTTTTTTTATTCTTTTCATGTCACCAGTCATCGGCCACTAGAAGTAACTGTTGGGGGAGTTTATTTTCCTCGTACTTCTTTGATGTTTTTCACACCACTGTTTTCTCCCCATTTCCAACCTCTCAGCTGAACACTGATTATCTCACACCCACCCCACCAAAGTAGGCTCCTAACTCTGTCTCCTGGTTCTGGCATTTCATCTCCCCTAGACATTCGACTTGATTTTAACTTACTAAAAACGTAATTGTCATGTAAAAAATTCTTACACATTGAAAAGACTTATACTGTCTATTCAACTACTTTAGACATACCTCTCAGTCGATATATTTAATTTCTTAAGTTCTATACTGAACTTTGCTTTAATTTAATCTTATATTACTTTGTTCATTTGCATGAAACAGTCAGCAAGCACACTGCCATATTCCACACAAAGTTCTTCAATCAAATGTCAAATCAGGTTTATGTTTATTACTCATTTTGGAATTTAAGCCTGCTATGTGACAGTTATATTTATGAGAAGAACTGTAATTACAGCTTATTATAGTTATTTTAAAGCTGATTAACTTACAAAAATTTCATACAGTAAAAGCACTTTTTATTTTTAAATTTTTATGTTATTTTATAATTATTTAAAACAAAAGAACTTTTGTTCCTCTTTCTGGTTTTTAGAACTATTTTGGCTTGCTAACACTGAGATATTATTTCTTTAAAACAAAGAAGCAAGCAATATTGTTGCCCTTTGCAACTGGTTATCTGTTTGAAACAGGATTTTCAAAATAATAATACCTGAAAAATAAAATAGATACTGGCTTTGATTAAATACAGTAGGTGCTCAAATGAAGTCATTTTGTTGAATGTCATTTCATTATAACAATGATGAAGAAGATAGATTCCTAGCAGGGGTGGTGTCTGTATGGGTGTATCAGTCTACTCTCACACTGCTATGAAGATATTATCCAAGACCTAGAGACTGGGTAATTTATAAAGAAAGGAGATTTAACTGACTCGTATTTCCACATGGCTTGGGAGGCCTCAGGAAACTTACAATCATGGTAGAGGGTGAAAGGGAAGCAAGGCACGTCTTACATGGCAGGAGGAGAGAGCATGTGAGGGAGGAAATGTCAAACATAAAACCATCAGATCTAGTAAAAACTCCTTCACCATTATGAGAACAGCATGGGGGAAACTGCCCCCATGATCCAAACACCTCCCTCAACACATGGGGATTATAGAGATTACAATTAGAGATGAGATTTGAGTGGGGACACAGAGCCAAGTCATATCAATCAGGTTGGCATGCTCCCCATGTCTGCCTGGACTTGCTCCCAGGTTTTCTCCCACATCCCAAAGCTGTGCATGTGAGGTTTATTGGCATTAGCTAATGAGCTGGTTGGAAAAGGAATGAATGAATGAATATAAATCGTCAAATAAAAATGTTTCAAGTATATGATAATCATACAAATGCAGGACAATAAACAATGCAATAGCAAAGTGCTCAGGGAGCTGTCACATGTGTAAATGTTTTTGACCTCTCTCGGGGGAAGAGGTTTTCCTGACAATGTTTTCTTGGCAAACAAACATTTATTTATCCCTTGATGTAACCAACCTGCACCCCTATGAATGTCACTCATCCATCCACCAAAAATTTGGTAAACAGTAATCTTTCTTGTCTTCATTAATCTTTCTTAAAAGTGTGTATAGTTCACATTTACTTAAATGTTTAATATTAGGAGTGTTTTGGTCTTTATGCAGAAGTTTGGTCTTGCTTTTTGTGAGCAGAAATATGCTTAGGAACTTAACTCTTGTTTATATCAATTAGCCTAAGGGGAAATTGGTTTTGGTATACAGAGTTTTACTTGAAGTCACAGTTTCCAAAGACCTATTAATGATGTTAAGTGGGAACTTACTATACTTTAACATTCATCAAAACATATAGTTACACAACTAGTCTTGCTTTCTTTAACACAGCTCAATTTTTCCCCAAGTTGACTCTATAGTACATATTGTTCTGATTTAAACTTAAAAATAATGTTATCCTAATGAAACACTAAATAAATCTATTTTTGATAGAGGAAAATATAATTTTATTTTGGAGAAATAAGCCATCATATTGTAGCTGCCTGCCTTTTTTGCCCCCAAGCCCTGCAGTGTAAAACTCTGTCATCTCCCAGGCGTGTTCAGCTCCAGCCATATTTATTTTTCCCCATTCTCCAGAATGATGGCATTTCTCCGTTCCCAGGGCTTTGCAAACCCTGAAATCCTTGTATGGACTGTCAACTCTTCCTGCTAAGCTAAGAGTCTTTGAAGACTCTGAGGATTCTCGCTGGGCATTTCTTAGCCTCTTGAAGCCAGATTAGGATTTTTGCCTCTAGGTCATCACAGAATCCTTCACGCAATTCAGTTTCACAGAAAACTGCTTCAACCTCCACCTTCTTTCAAATTCTGAGCTCTCTGGGTGCAATTTTATGTCTCTTGGCCACTTTATCCCTAGTCTCTAGTAAATAACATAAACATTTTTAAAATAAATCAATAAATAAAAATATAAATTAACCTACACTGTATTCATTATACAGCTACATGTTTAAATTTTATAGGAATATTTCCAAATAATGATGTAAATCTTAGTGTTATGTTAGGCAGCATACCAAGGGCTTAACATTTGGAGTTCTGTGATGGCTCTGTCATTAATTCACGTGTGATTTTAGCTAAATCATTTTATCTGTATTCCAGGTTCCTCATCTATGAAACAAGAGAATTGTATTAATCCAACCTGAAGGAACTCTTCAGACCTAAAATTCTGTGATCTTTTGCACAGATTTCAGTGAAGATACTGCTGTCTCACATTGATATGTCTGGTTGCAGTCAGTATCGATGTTGAACTGAAATCAACAGTGATTATTTCTCCAATTTCAAGTATGTGAAGCGGTTAACCCAAAATGAAGGAAATGATATGTGATTATGTATTTGTTCCTGCCTTACAACTAGGGCACTTTGTGAGTACCTTTAACTCTTTGAGAGTGTAACTAAACTCTTTCCAATGCAAATGTGTCAGTGTTCTTGAAAGCTTAATGACAACCATAAGATACAGTAACTTTATGATGTTTTGGTTACTTGTCATTTTACTGTGTAGACAAGAACAATTTCATCTCTGATCAAATCTTCCCTTTGCACCTTGCTAAATGGTTCAATAGTTCTATTCTAATCTACGTGAAATACATGTGTTAAGGGCTGGAGGTGATGGCTCATGCCTGTAATCCCAGCACTTTCGGAGGCTGAGGTGGGAAGACTATTTGAGTCCAGGAGTTCAAGACTAGCCTGCGCAACATAGCGAGGCCTTGGCTCAACCAAAATACAAATGCAAAAACAAAACAAGAGATGGATAACACCTATCTCTGACTCTGAAATCTTTCATCAACATAACCCACTGAAATTCCCATGTTGTTGTGTGTATCAGTAGTTTGTTTTTGGGAGTAATGATTTTAGTTCTCTTATAAAAATATACATGTGTTTTTCCAATTCCCTGTCAAAGAATATTCACAATGTTTCTATTTTGGCAATTATGAATAGAGTTACTATAAACATTCACATGGTATAAAATTTTTCTAGGGTAAATACTTAGGAGGTGGATTTCTGGGCCATATGATTGATGTATATTTACTATCATATGAAACTACCAACCTATCTTCCAGAATGGCGGTACCACTTGGCTTTTCCGCTTGCAATCTCAAAGGTTACACAGAACATACATCCATTGGTGTGACATTCTCACACCCCAAAATTACAAGGATAAATAATGAATCAGCCAGGCTTGGTGGCTTACTCCTGTAATGCCAGCACTTTTTTGAGGCCAAGGCGGGCAGATTACTTGAGGTCAGGAGTTCGAGACCAGCCTGGCCAACATGATCAAACTCCATCTCTACTAAAAATATGAACATTAGCCAGGCTTGGTGGCAGACATCTGTAATCCCAGCTACTTGGGAGGCTGAGGCAAGGGAATGGCTTGAACCTGGGAAGCAGAGGTCGCAGTGAGCCAAGACCGTGTCACTGCACCCTGAGCAACAGAGCGAAACTCCGCCTCAAAAAAAAAAAAAAAAAAAATGTGAATCAGTAAGTAGTTCAGGGTTTAAGTTGGGGGAGCCTGTCAACACAAAGGGATACTACAGTATTTTGAAGTGAAGGGAATGTTCTGTGTTCTGATTTTGCTGGTGGTTACACAGATCTATACATGTATTTACAGTCATAGATCTGTACACACAGAAAGTTCTACTTTACTGTATATCACTTAAAAATAATTTGTTCAGACCTGAAGAAAAATTCTGCATGTGTCACGAAGCTGTCAAAATACAACACTAATAAAATGTAGCACCTGCAATATGAGATGCCTGGATTTTATGGGTATGTACCTGAATTTTAAAAAAGGGGGAGATGTGCTAAACCTTTAATATACTCATTACAGTTGAAAATTTGACAATGGAAACGTAAAGCCTGCCCTTCAGATAAAAACTTGCCTAAAACTGAACTGCTTTGTAGTCTTTATGTTCCTTTAATGTCCACGAATGGCATAAATTGTTCAGAATGTGGAGAAAGCAGAGTTACTTAATTGTATGATTTAAGTGACTACTTGCCTTAATTGGGTAGACACAGGGTGAGCTGGAGATTAATAAGGATAAGTAAAGACAAGGTACTATCTTTTCAGGCACCTGGGTACCTGGGCAGACTCATTCCTCTTGAGGATGGAGTAAAATACCAGTAATGAGTTTCAGACATGTGTTGATAAATATCTCTGGTACAAATTGGCAGCTGCAAAGCAGCCAGGGGCAGAGGAAGAAGTCAACTCAGTTATTTGATAAGCCAAACCAGAAGGAATTTAAGCTCTGGAAGGCCATATTTGCACTCTTGGGTCTCTCACATATCTTCAGATACAGTATTGAGGAGGTACTGAGAGCAAGTAAAGTGAGTTACACGTTCTCCACCTACCCAGCACCTAGCCGGGTTCCCAGGACATGGTAGTTACAGATTCCATGTTTATTTATATGATGTGTACCACTGCAGAGGGCCAGGGCAGGTGGAAAAGAGCAGGAATCTGATTTATAAATCAAGCTGACTGAAAAATAAGTCAAGGGAGTGCTTTCATTGAATAAATAATCATATTATTAAATACAATGTTAAAACTGAAGATAATTCATACATATACTGAAGTTACTATCATTTCCCCACTGGCATCAACATGAAATTAGAACAAGCTTTAGATTTCATTTACTTTGACTCATGCACACGCCTCACTCAAGTATGGCAGACTTTATTTACTGTGCTGAAATCCATTACAGCCAGGTGGCACAGAAGATGATGTGACTTAACATCAATCATTTACAATCGCTATTTTAAATTCACTAAACATTATCTGAATTATAAATTGTTCACGTGCGGAACTGCGTGAAAAAGATGTAATCCAAACCTCTTGATCTTGCAGATCTAAGGGGAAAATAAAAGTTGACTAAAGCCCAACGTGATGCTACTTTACAGATTTCCTTTACTGAGTGCAGCCCACACTACTTAAAAGTATATGGACTGCCAGTCCTCATGACATGCAGATCCTTTTTTCCTTCCCCCTCTGTGTAAAACACAAATATCAGGCCTGATAATGGCACAAGAAGCTACCAGAAGACACTGCTAAAATGTGATAGGAGAAAGACAAGCTGGCCTGGGACCGAAGACCAGAGAAACAGCAGAGCATGGGGTGACTTGTGGCCGATCACAAACAGAAGGCCACTCCGACTTGCTGTTTTCCACCCCTGAACAGGCAACAGAAGGACCCCAGCAAGCCCGTTCCTTCTCCAGATGCAACTGTGACCCGTCTGACTACCAGACTACGCAGCACCACAGCAAATAAAATGGATGTAAGAGCCACACCAACAACAAACATCCAAGGAAGTCTTCATGTTCCTTGTGGTCCCAGGGCTGCCTTGTCGAAGAAAAAATATCTAAGAAGGCAGAACCTGCAAGAGGGATGCAGCTATATAAATGATCTCACCTGGGGAGGCCCTTCGTCCCAGTAGGTGTGAGACTGAGTCTCTTCCCCACCCAGACACAGCGGTAGAGTGGGCGGAATAGGTGACGGGGCACTGCAAAGAGTGGTCCCTCCGACCTCCCTCATCGCCTCACCAACATCTCCCCAAGCCCACCCAACCCCATGCACTCCAAGCCTGGGAAATCCTTCTGCCCCCTCAGCCAGCACCAGCAGAAAGCAGTGGAGACTCCTTGGGCACTAAAGGCACTGAGCAGATAAAAGTAAACCCTTGAAGCCTCCAATAGTCAAATTATCATTGGAACCTCCTCCCCAGCCCACAAAATAGGCTGAGACCCACATGCCAAGCCTAAACAAGGTACTTGCTTGCTAAAATATTAGGTGGGTACAAAAGCAATTGCAGTTTTTGCCATTATTTTTATTTATTTATTTATTTTTTAGACTAAGTTTCACTCTTGTCACCCAGGCTGGAGTGCAGTGGCATGATCTTGGCTCACCGCAACCTCCGCCTCCTGGGTTCAAGTGATTCTCCTGCCTCAGCCTCCCAAGTGGCTGGGATTACAGGCATGCACCACCATGCCCAGCTAATTTTGTACTTTTAGTACATATGGGGTTTCTCCGTATTGGTCATGCTAGTCTTGAACTCCCGACCTTAGGTGATCTGCCCACCTCGGCCCCCCAAAGTGCTGGGATTACAGGTGTGAGCCACCGCGCCCAGCCTGCCATTTCTTTCAATGGCATAAATGCCATTACTTTCAGTGGCAAAAAACCACAGTTGCTTTTTCATCAATCTCATAAAAAATATAAATAGTACCTAGCAATACCTAACATGACACACAAAAGAGCTGGGACACAATCATCACACCAAGAGCCAAGGAAATCACGGCTTGAATGATGAAAGACAATCAACCAACCCCAACAGAAATGAATCAGAGGGTGGATTTTAAAGCCAGGTCGCTTAAAAATGCTTCAGTGATCATTTACAAATTATCTGCAAACAGATGAAAAAAAACGATAAATCTAAGTAAAGAAATAAGTTATAAAAATGAACTAAAAGGAAATTATGGAACTAAAAATAACAGAAGAGAAAACTAAAAATAGCTAGATTTGCTTAATATTAAAATTGAAATGAGCAATAATAGAATCAGTGAACTTGAGATCAATGGAATTCTCCTACACTAAACAACAGAGACAAAACAGACTACAAATGGAAAAGGGGCCGGGAGTGGTGACTCACATCTGTAATCTCAGCACTTTGGGAGGCCTAGGTGGATGGATTGCCTGAGCTCAGGAGTTCAAGACCAGCCTGGGCAACACGGTGAAACCCCATCTTTATTAAAATACAAAAAAAAATTAGCTGGGTGTGGTGGCACACACCTGTAGTCCCTACTACTCAGGAGGTTGAGGCAGAAGAATTGCTTGAACCCAGGAGGCGGAGGATGCATTGAGCACAGATCGTGCCACTGCACTCCAGCCCCCTGGAGCAATGGAGAAAGACTCTGTCTCAAAAATAAAAAATTAAAAGGAAAAACGAATAAAGCTTCAGAGGCCTGTGGGACAAAACAAAACAAAACAAATACACATAGAAAAAAGAATCCAACTATTTTTTATCATTAGAATTCCAAAAGGAGACGAGCTAGATGATGGTGTTGAAATTATTTAAAAAAATAATTGCTGAAAACTTACCAAATTTGGCAAAACACGTGAATTTATAGACCCAAAAAAATCTAAGTTAACCTCTCAAAAATAAACCTAAACAAATCCATTCCAAGACACATCTAATCCAAGTTTTAAAAACTAAAGACAGAAAAAACAACCAAAAAGAAACAAAATGTTACCTACAGGATAAAACTACTTCAATGACAATGATTTTCCCATTTGGGATCATGGAGGCCAGAAGGAAGAACTGACAACCACAAATTCTATATTCAGTGAATCTATCCTTCAGAAATAAAGGGAACTTAAAAAAATTATCAGGCGTATAATTTGTTTTTGCAAATTAAGAGTAGGTGGTAGGCTGGGGGCAATGGCTCACGCCTGTAATCCCAGCACTTTGGGAGGCCGAGGTGAGCGGATCACAAGGTCAGGAGATCGAGACTATCCTGGCTAACATAGTGAAACCCTGTCTGAACTAAAAATACAAAAAATTAGCCAGGCGTGGTGGCAGGCACCTGTAGTCCCAGCTACTAGGGAGGCTGAGGCAGGAGAGTGCTTTGAACCCAGAAGGCGGAGCTTGCAGTGAGCCCAGATTAGCCACTGCACTCCAGCCTGGGCAACAGAGCGAGACTCCATCTCAAAAAAAAAAAAAAAAAAAAAAAAACCAGAGTAGTTGGTAGACCTGCCCTTAATGGTTGGCTCAAGAACATTCTTCTTGAAAAGAAATGAAGGAGAAAAGAAAAGAAACTTTTACCTGTGTTTTCAAAAGAGAAAAAACAAGAGGAATCTATACAATATAAACTGGACTATTTTGCTTACCATGAGTTCCATAAATCTTACTTAATGATTGAAACAACAATTAGAACAGCGTCTGGTACTTCAGATAATAATTTCAAAAAGTTGAAGGGGTAAAGGGCCCTAAATGCAAGTGCAGTTTCCATACTTCAGGTGGTAAATGTTCGCATTAGTTGTAGTAAGATAAATAATGGCCTCACTCCTGTCCAATCCTGCTCTCACTCTAATCCCTCAAATCTGTGAAACTTACTTTTCAGATGAAAGATTTTGCAAATGTGATTAAGTTAAGGATCGAAATGTGGGGGATTGTCCTGAATGATGTAGGTGGGCCCTAAATGCCACCACTAGTATCCATATAAGAGAGAGGCAGAGGGAGATTTCAGGCAGAGAAGATGGTCTCGTGACTCTGAATTCAGAGAGTGGGTTGATGTGGCCACAAGCCAAGGAACGCCAGCAGCTGCCCTAAGCTGGAAGAAGAAAGGGATGAATTCTTCCCCAGGGCCTTTGGAGTGATTACAGCTCTGCCCACATGTTGATGCTGGCCTAGAAAACCTGACTTGGACTTCTGGTTTCCAGAACTGAGAGTACAAATTTCTGCTGTTTTGAGCCACCAAGTTTGTGGAATATTCTATAGTAACAGTAGGAAATAAATGTATCAGTAGACTGTTATAAGTCACATATGTTTATTGTAATGCCCAGAACAACCACTTTGAAAACTACAAAGAAATACATGAAATATACCACAAACAGGTTAAGATAAAATTAAAAAACAAAACTTAATAACCCTTAGGAAGGCAAGAAAAGCAGTAAAAGGGGAATGAGAACCAGAAATAAAGAAATAATAAAATGCCAGACAAAGCACTAAACATATCAATAATTACCTTAAATATAAATGGTCTAGATATGCCACTGAAATATCAGAGAGAGGCAGAATGTATTAAAAAATTACCCAAATAATGAGGCTTAAAATATATGTCAAAATCAATGACCCAGGCATATTGATAGTAAAAGAAACAAAAGACATACCATGTAAATATTAATAATAAAAAGCAGGAGTGCCTATGTTAATATCTGACAAAGTAGACTTAAGGCAAATAAAAGTATCAGAGACAAAGAGGGACACCACAAAATAATAAAAGGATTGACCCACCAGAAATATGTAACACTCCTAAATGTGTACAAACCAAATATCAGAGCTTCACGACAAGAAGCAAAAACTGATAAAGCTAAGAGAAAAATAGCAACCTCCACAAGTATAGTTGAAAACTTTAGCACCCTTAGCAAACAGGCAGAAAATATCACAAAGGATATTCAATCAACCAACAGGATCTAACTGACGAATATGGAACTCTCAACTCAATACACATGTTTTTCAAAGCCCTATGAAAAGCTGACAAAAGATAAATCACACCCTGGGCCAGATAATAGATCTTGACATATTCAAATGAACTGAAATCATAGAGAATTTGTTCTCTGATCACAAAGGAATCAAACTAGAAATCAGTTATTAAAAGGCAGTAGAAAAATCTCTAAACATATGGAAGTTAAATAACACATTTCTAAATAATCCATGATTCAAAGGGAAAGTCTCAAGTGAAATAAAGAAATACATAGAATGAAGTTAAAATAAAAACACAACATATAAAAATATGTGGGAAGCAGATAAAACAGTGCCAAGAGGAAAATTTATAACAGTAAATGACTACATTAGATAGAAAAGAATGAAAAAAATTACTTAAGTTCCTACCTCAAGATTCTAGCATAAGTAATGCAAAATAGACTCAAAGAAACTAGGAGGAAGAGTGCGATAGAGGTCTAAATTAATGAAATAGAAATAGATAAACAGTAGAAAAAATAACGAAACAAATATTCTCTTTCAAAAATAATATAATTGATGAAGCTATAAGAACACTTGCAGAAAGTCAGAAAAAGAGAAAGGGAGAGAGAGATAGAAGGGAACAATTACAAATACCAGAAATAAAATAGAGGCTATTACTACAGATTCATCAGCCATCACAAAGATAATAAGGAAATATTATAAATAACTGTAAATTCATAAATTCAACATATTATTAGATATAAACTGATTTGTCAAAAACTATTAACTACCAAAACTCAACCAAGATAAAACAGACAATCTAAATAGTCCTTTATTATAGAAATTAATGGTATAACATGTTCACCAAAAATAAAATCCTCAGACCCAGATGGTTTCAATAGAAAATTCTACTAATTTATAAGTAACAATTAACGTCAAGATTTCATAAACTCTTGCAGAAAATAACAAAAGAGAAAATATTTTATAGCCATTATAATCTTATAATGAAGATAGTATTCAACTGATACCAAAGTCAGACAAAGGCAGTACAAAAAAGAAAGAGAAAACTATAGACCGATATCTTTTATGAATGTAGTTGCAAATATCCTCAACAAAATATTAGAAAACTGAATGCAACAATGTACAAATCAATTATACTCAATCATGAAGTAGAATTTATTCCATTTTATGAAAGGCTGAGTCAACTTTTAAAAAAATCAATCAATGTCATCCACCATTAGAAGAGGCTAAAGAAAGAACATGATATATCAGCTAATGCCAAAAAAGAAACATTTGACGATTCACAGGACACATAGTGTTCATGAGCTGAAAGATTTAACATAGTAAATATGTCAATTTTCTCCAAATTTATCAATAGCTTTAATGTAATTCCTATCACAATCCCAGCAATGTTTTTATACATTGCTGGGAGTATACATGCATATATGTTTATGGTACTCTCAAACTTATATAGATTGGCACCTGCCCTAGAATAGTTAAGTCTCTTGACAAAGAACAATAAAGTGAGAAACATCACTCCGCCTGATATTAACATTTACTAAACAGTTATAGTAATTAGTAATGTGTGGCATTGGTAGAAGACTAGACACACATCAGTGTAACAGAACAGAGAGCTCAGAAATAGACCCACACAAATACATCTAACTAGTTTTTGATGAAGGCAGAAAAGCAGTTCAATGGAGAAAGGCGAGTCCTTTCAACAAATGCTACTGAACAGTTGGATACACGAACTGCCAGGCAAACCGTGAACCTCAACCTCTGTCTCATGCCATATACAAAAACTAACTCAAAAGGGATAAGAGACTTAAATGTAATATGTAAAACTGTAAAACTTTTAGGAATATGTATAGAAGGACTCCTCTGTAAAGTACAGCTAGGCAAAGAATCCTTAGAGTTGACAGCAAAAGCACTGGCCTTTATGGGAAAGCCCATAAACTAGACTTCATCAAAATTAAAAGCTTTTGCCATGTGTTGAAACCCACATGAAGAAAGTGAAAAGACAAGCCGCAGACTGAGAAAAAATAGCTGCAAACCATGTATTCTACAAAGCACTAATATCTTGACTACACAAAGAATTCTCCAAACTTAGTAAGAAACATCCGCTTAGAAAATGGGAAAAAGACTTAGACATTTTGCCAAAGAGGATGTCAGATAGTAAATAAGCATCTGACAAAATGTTCAGTATCATTAGCCATCAGGAAAATGCAAATTTAAACCACAACGAGGT
Organism: Homo sapiens; assembly: GCF_000001405.40. NCBI lineage: Eukaryota > Metazoa > Chordata > Mammalia > Primates > Hominidae > Homo > Homo sapiens. The sequence continues at coordinate 3,484,877 of NC_000008.11, forward strand.
GTCATTACACAACTTTTGGAGCAGAAAAAGTGGTGATAAAACCAATTGTGGGGACGGCGTGAGCATGAGGACCACTTAACATCATGGGCTGTGATGTTGGAGAACCATGCTGGAAAACAGCTGAGCAGTTTCCTACAAAACTAAACATACAACCAACATACAACTCAAGCAATTACACTCCTAAGTAATTTCCAAGAGAAATAAAAACTCATGTTTACATAACAACCTATACACAAATGTCATAGTAGCTTTCTTCATAATAGTCAAATACTAGAAGCAATCCAGGTGTCCATCTGTGGGTGAATATAAACTGTGGAACATTCATACCTTGAAATACCAGCCAGCAAAAAACGGGAGGAAACGATTGCAGTACACAAAGTCCAGGGAATTTTGCTGAGTGAGAAGCAATCATAGAAGGTAACACACTACGTGCTTCTAATTATATAACATTCTTGCAATGACAAATTTTTAGAGCTGGAGTGCAGATAATGTTTGGCAGGGGTCAGCTTTAAGTGTAGAAAACAGGGAGTTGGCTATGATTATTAAGGAAAATATGAGGGAACTTTGGGGTATTAGAAATTACCTGTCTTGACTGTGGCGGATACAGGAACTTAAACAGGTAGTGAAATTGTATAGAACTTCATAACAATACACACACACACAGAGAGAGAGAGAGAGAGAGAGAGAGGGAGAGAGAGAAACACAAATGAATACAAATAAAACAGGAAATTAAATGAGCTGGGTGTGGTGGCGCATGCTGGTTATCCCAGCTACTCCTGAGACTGAGGCATGAGAATCCCTTGAACTTGAGAGGCAGCAGTTGCAGTGAGTTGAGATTGTGCCACTGCACTACAGCCTGGGTGACAGAGCGAGACTCAGCCTCAAAAAAATAAAATAAAATAAAATAAAATAAAATAAAATAAAATAAAATAAAATAAAATAAAATAAAATAAAATAAAACAGGAAATCTGAATAAGATCAGTGGATCATATCAAGGTGAATATCCTGGTTGTGACATTTTACTGTAGATTTGCAAAACATTTCCACTGGAGATCCGGACGAAGTCTATAAAGATCCCTTCGTATTAACACCAGGGGTTCAATGAGCGATTAGGCAGCATTTTTTTCCTCAGTGACTATCGATTCGAGTTCTCCTTGTCTTCACTTGGCAGATAGAAATGATATCTTTGTCACAATTTTGTCAAGAAACAATACTGGTGCATTAAATGACAGTTCAATCTCCTCTTTCCTTGTTTCTTTCTGTTATATTTCATTTTCAAATTTGATTCTGAACATGGCAGAACTCTGGATGTTTTATTATATTAAGACAGCGATGATAACTATAGTAATACAATATTACCTTCTCCTTGTACTGTACTTTTAATCTTTTTAAAACTATTTTTTATCTACCATTCTATTTGATGCAACAATCCATTGAGGGTAAAAGGCACAAGAGAGGGAGTCAGGGATGGTGCACTGTAAATGCATGCATCTATTGTTTTAATGGACTTATCTCCCCAAAATAGTAGCATCCTTCGATGTTTATTTGAGATGAAAAACAAACAATAAAAATCTTTAAATGCTTTTGACTGATGAATTCTGGAAGAGATTCCTGGGTCTTTTGGGTCTGTAAAAACAGGCATGCATTTTTTGGCTCCTCAGAGAAAATAGCCACAGTGAGTCTACACCTGTGATAGAACAGCCAGAACAACTGGAAATGACTCCTGCTGTTCACTCAGCTGCCTGGAGCCCAGATTAGCTGAAATGGAGCACCACCTTATTTGCAGCAGCAGCTGCCCTCGGGCTCCGATTCCTGTGGGACCTATGGCTTCTTCTTCCCTGTAGGAAGGTTGCCCTCAAGACACATCCAATGGGTCCCCAAGGTCCCTGACTCTGCTGGCTTTCCCAGATAGCTCCACTGCAGCTGCTAGCCCAAATCCAAAATGCTGAAGCCCAGTGGTTTGTTTATCCCCCTACCAACAGGGTTCTTGGAAGAGGAAACCCAAACCACACAGGGTGTCCAGAGAGATCTGGCAATGTCTGAACTGTCCAGTACTAATGACGAAGGTTGGGCAGCCCTAGCCATCCTGAAGCTTGCTACTCAATCCTCCTTGATCCTGGGGAGTTGATCCTGAACCTCTCACACACAGAAGGTGACACAAAAGCACTTACCTGGCATAACAACATTCTACTAACCAGGCCAAGTAACCATTACTACAGGAGAAGGCTAAGAGTGTACTAGCATTATACAGAAATGACTTGGTTATTCCAGTAACTGGGCCGCTCTCTTCAGACAACAGTGATTGATGTATTATCAGCATACTTTTTTATTTATTTAGTTTTTGAGACAGAGTCTAGCTCTGTCTCCCAGGCTGGAGTGCAGTGGCGCGATCTTGGCTCTCTGCAAGCTCCACCTCCTGGGTTCACGCCATTCTCCTGCCTCAGCCTCCCAAGTAGATGGGACTACAGGCGCCCGCCACCACGCCCGGCTAATTTTTTGTATTTTTAGTAGAGACAGGGTTTCACCATGTTAGCCAGGATGGTCTCGTTCTCCTGACCTCGTGATCTGCCCGCCTCGGCCTCCCCAAGTGTTGGGATTACAGGCATGAGCCACCATGCCCGGCCTATCAGTATAAATTTAAGGCAGATTTTAGGAATAGCATATATAAATCGATACATCTAGTCACAAGGAGGGTATTCTACATCCACCAAAGTATCGGGTAAATTTGGTGTATAAATATTTAGAATTCTTAACGTTTATCTACTTAGAATAATGGAATTGCCAGATAGAATTTTCAAAGGAGGTGCCTACAAACACATTGTCAAGAAGGCGGGTCCCTTTTTAATGCTGAAATTAGCTGTGAATGTTTTTAAGAGTTCCTGGAAGCTTACAAATTACACTAAGTGCTAAAAGAATCCCATGGAATATTTTGTGATTTCCCAGAAATCGTAAAAATCCTCAAGGCATTGCTGAAACCTCACTTAGTAACATTACCAATTTTTTCTAACAAGATCCCATCAACATTTTGATATTAATGGTTTTGTTTTTAAACTTGTTTGCATCCCATTAGAGATGTGTATTTTATGAGTAATTTACTTTCCAGACACAGAAGACTAAAAAAAAGACCCTACAAACGCAATCAAAATATACTTAGAAGAGGTGACTTTTTTTTTCTAAACTCAAACCAAATAAATGTTTAGAAACTCATAGTATTATTATTATTATTATTATTATTTTTCTTTTTGAAATAGTGTCTTGCTCTGTTGCTCAGGCTGGAGTGCAGTGGGGTCATCATAGCTCACTGCAGCCTTGATCTCCTGGGCACAATCGACCCTTTCACCTTAGCCTCCTGAGTAGCTGGGACTGCAGGCATGCACCACCACACCCGGCTAATTTTTGTCTTTGTTTTTTTGTAGAGACGGAGTTTCATCCTGTTGCCCAGGTTGGTCTCAAACTTTTGGCCTCAAGTATTTCTCCCTCCTCGGCTTCCCAAAGTTCCGGGATTATAGGCGTATACCAGCATGCCTGGCCAATAACATGTCTTTTGACCTTTTACATTCAAGGCTAAAACCGATAGATAAATGTATCTGGAAGATAGTATGCTTCTTGCAGTATAAAATGTAATACAAAATTTATAGCAGTATTAGCACTCTTACTATTAATAATGTAGATTCATACTGCTAATTATATGAAATGTATATCAGTAGGCTAATTCCTCCTCAAGGCTAGGACAATGGCTTATTCTCTCTCTGCCTCCTCGCTGAGTCCTAGCATAATATTTGGCATTCAATAAATAATTATTTAAAGAATCAAGCAAGAACGCTTCCAGATAAGAGGCCGGGAAAGAAAAGCTAACAATGGATAGACTTCAAGTCAAGAACAGGGTTCAAACAGTTGAGTCTGTCTATACTGTCACTGGCATTCAGGCTCAAAGGCAGTGCCATTATGTGAAAGATAATATACAGAAAAATAATTGGGATCATGTGATTCCAGAGTTTTAAGAATCTTATTTCTATTTGGTTTGATTTCTAATCATGTTTTCTGATTTTTTTAAAACCGAAAATGTATTTAAGTCAATATCTTTATATCTTTATTACCAACATCAATTGTTTATGCTTTCCCCCAAGGCACTACATGTTTAGTGATTAACTCTGTGATAACATTAAAGATATATAAAGATACACACACAAATACACACGTCTGTGCATAGTGTCTGCTTTTTAATGGCTCTTCAGCAGTCTTTTAATAAAAAGAGAATGATACCCTTTGACTCAGGATCAGCAGAAAACAACAGGGAGAAATGACGTCTCAGCCATGCCAGGCAGTGTCTGGGAGCAAGAAGTAGATTCAGCAAAAATGGATTAATCCAGCCCTAAGAAAGAACCAGTATCCTGATTTGTTAATCCACACATCTGGTTAGGCAGAGGCTACCCTACTTGCTCACAGATGTCCCTAATAATATTGACTATTCATTCTCATAGAGGGACGGGCATTTTAAAACTGTAACCTGTGCCTGCCACCCACAGAACGTCCTGAATTAATGAAATCCCCTGGTTACCAATGGCTAATAGCTGCAAAGGCCAGAGGGAATCCAGGGAAGGCCATAGCTCTCCATGCAGTTCCTCCACAAATCAAATTCGAGAACAGTCTCAATAGATGTACTTGGAAAGAACTCAACAGACATTTGCAAAGAAAGTTACTTAACTTTCTTTTAAGCCTGACATTCTATAAATATGACCCAAGTTCCTTCAACCACCTCTCAGGGAAGGTGGATTACAGAAGGAGTCCCTTCATGTTTTTATTCTTTTATATTGTGCCATAAAAATTAACAAAATGAGAAGTCATTGCCAGAAATAAGAATTTTTAAAACCGTATTTAGGGTGAGCTATATAGTTTTAGGCTATTTCATTTTCCAAATTTCTCTTAAAATCGAGATGTAACTAGAATTCCATATTTCCCACAAAATGGAAACCCACAAAATATTGAGTTTGAAGTAGTGAATGCCAGTCTGCCATGAAGAGGTTTTAAACTGCTGCTTTATGTAAAATGTGTGTCATGTGATCCTCTGACTTCGTATACTGACTAGTATTTAAACTATTCCAGTCTATCTGTCATTTCTCCAATTAGATGATAGACTCCATGCTGGGAAGAATGTTTGCATATAAGTACTCAAAAGTATTTGTCGATGTATCGCCTAAAATTATCTGTTTATTCAAAGAGACTAGCTGTGATTCTCTGTGTTCGGTTATTTTTCTGTGATCTGGTACACTAAGGACATATATCAGTGGCTTTTCTTTCCTCTTCTGCAGCTGATTAAATGCCCAGCTGATCCCGGCTGCATTATGTTTCCCAAAGGGCATCTCAGTTTGATTCAGTTGGCTGTTTAGTTTTTCATTTACAGATTCAAGCTATTGAGAGAAGGCGCTAATAACACTTCTGTCAATGTAATACATAGTTTGCAATTGCTTTCTTAACAACAAATAGCATTAAAAAATGAGTGTATGATTTTAGATCTTTAATAATAACCTAAGGGATTTCATAAGGCATTACCTGCCTGCATTTATATTTTAAATTTTGCAGTTATTTAACAATTTTTCTCATTTATTTTAGTGACATCCTCTCTTAAATTAGGTGTTTTGGTAATAATAATACGTGTGGGTTACATTTTTCAGCTCTCCGGAGTGTTTGCATGCATTATTTCATTTTTCTATTTCCCACAGGCTGGAAAAGTTTATTATACATATTTTATAGCCAGGAAAAGACAGGCAGAGAGAAGGAAAATGACTTCCCTCAGGGTCATGGGGATAGCAAATAGCTGGAGCCAGAAACTCTATCTTTGACTTGCAGGCCCCTTTCTATCCACTGTAGTGCTGTTCCCAACCCTGTCCCAGGTCAAAGGCAGGCAGTGTGTGCGACGATCGCCTTAGAAGCTTGCCCAAAATATAGATATCTGGGCCCTCAGATGTAGGACTCTGTTTTTAAAAATAAAAAGAAAAAAATTTTTTTTTACCTAGTAATTTGTCAACAAAAAAGAGTCATTATTTGGCAAGGGTGCAGAAAAATAGGATCCTTCATGTTCCACTGAGGTTTATATAAATTTTCAGGGGGGATAATTGGAGAAACGTAACAATGTAAATGAAGATGCCTCTTCATCCCCAAATTCCTCAATGGAAATGTTCCTGAAGGTATAGCAAAAAAGTATGCCAATGTCTACATACAAAGATATTCACTTCACAGCTGCTTATAGAAGTGAAAGAATGCGGTGAGAGCGTGAGTGTCAGATGCAAAAGACTGTCAAAGGGAACCAGGTAAAAAGCATGGTAGGTCCACAGGCGATAAAGACTCAAGATCCTGGAGCAGTATCACATCACTGAGTTGGAATCCCTGCCTCAATGTACACTAGGTTTGTGAACTGGGGTAAATCCTTTAACCTATCAAAACTTCAGCTTCATCAATGATAAAGCAATGATATTATTAGACCCAAATTCCCAGGATTATAGTAAAGATCAAATAAGGTAAAATGTATTATGCATTTAACACAGTGCATGGTGCGTAAAAGATACATAAAAGTTAGCTAGGACATTACTAGTGTTATTCTCATCATTATTATAATAAGTTGTGGTCCAGCAACATGATTTCAATTATGCTTATTAGTAATAGTTGGAATGGGCCAGCAGGAAGATAAGCTAGAGGGAGGTGTTCTCTTGCAAAATGTCCAAGATTCGACGAATGAAGGAGTCGTGTCCCTGGTGGAGTCCTCTTCTGGGTCCATCGATTTTTAAGGGAATATACAGAACAGTTGGCTAGTGCTTTTTCAATGTGTGAATTATCTCATAAGTAATCAATAAATAAGGGGATAAGGTGAGTATAACAGACTGCATCTTTTTACTAGCATGGAAATATGGGATGCTACCCGGGGCAAGATTCCTCACAAATGAAGAGTGTTAGGGAAACCAGCCCCACACCACCCGGCGGGTACCCCGAGTCCAGCGGAGACAAAGGAGTTAGAAAGAGACAGAATGAGAGTTTAAAAGGCGGGTCCAGGGGACCTGAGGATCCGGAGGCTTGCTCACAGCCCAGAGGTCCCGGCCTCCACCCAATTTATTGGTTTACAAGCTCTTTGTTCTCAGGGCAAATGGGAGGGGTAGGAAGGGATGAGGAAAAGGATTAATCAGTGAAGGAGAACTTGTGAGTCATTCAACAAGGTGTATGTGAATTTCCTCCAGCAAAGGCGTGTGTCTGAACTACTTAAGATCTTTAACCTATTGGGACTGAAACGGGTGGGCGTGGGTTTCAGGAGAAGCCAAGATGTTTGATTATTCTCCATTGCTTCAGTGGAGTGTTATTTCCCCAAGCAACCAGTGGCATGCCGCTGAGCTCTTCTGCTCTCAGAGCATAAAGACATGAAGGAAATAAGGAGACTTTTCTCCTCAGAAGCCGCCCATGGCTCCCCATGGGTGTCTCACATAGGGCAGACCAGCTCATCTGGCACCACAGAAACTCTCTTTCCCACAAAGAGGCATCCTCAGTAGTATATAAGTAGACAAAGAAAGCAAGGTGAACACCTGCAGAACACTTTCCATTAATGAAAGACGCTTCTGGTTTAGTGGTTTCAAGATCTACAACATGAAGAGAAGCTATCTGTGGAGTTGCAAAGGCAGATAAGAGCAGGTATTTCCTTTCTCTTAAAAACAGAGAGGAAGTACACCCTCAAATCATTTTCCTAATTTTCATAAACCAGGTGTGATAAAATGGACAAAAACTGTCTTTGAGGCCCTCTCTCTGGAAGTAGCTGAAGCAGATGCCCAGGTCATAAGGCTGCAGAACAGTCTGTGATCCTGGTGAAAACTGAGAAGTGGGATCAGTCTGCAAATATTCACAGCAAGGCTGTCACCGTGTTTGCTAAGACTCTGGAATCAGAGTTCTTCAAAGGTACACTGAGTCACCCCCAACACTTTTCCCCCCCATGTCTGTTACTTTATTACGCAGTTTTACAGGAAGTCTGGAAAGGTGTATGGCATTATTCCAAAAAAGACCTGTATTTCCCAGACTAGAAAGCATCTGTACCTCTTTAAAAACCCTGATAATATAACATCACAGGGAAGCAGAGGAGAGAGGTTAAAAAAGAGGTGTTGGCTGGGTGCGGTGGTTCACACCTGTAATCCCCAACACTTTGGGAGGCTGAAGTGGGCAAATCACCAGAGGTCAGGAGTTCGAGACCAACCGGGCCAACATGGCAAACGCCTGTCTCTAATAATAATACAAAAATTAGCCTGGCATGATGGCACACACCTGTAATCCCAGCTACTCAGGAGGGTGAGGCAGGTGAATTGCTTGAACCCGGGAGGCGGAGGTTGCAGTGAGCCGAGATCTGACCACTGCACTGCAGCCTGGGTGATAGAGTAAGAACCTGTCTCAAAAAAAAAAAAAAAAAAAGGGGGGGCGGAGGGGTTGATTTGAAAAATTTATTGTTTTTTGCTACCTCATGAGTATACTAATTTTTTGCCATAAACATATATGTTTTTAATAATTGAAGAAAAACAGTCGAAACAGATAACACATACTCCTAAATTATACTCATAATGTGTTCTCATACAAAATGAGATTGCAGGCCACTACATTAGCCATAGATGGCACTAAGCAAACACCTGAGGCCGAATTACAAGCCTGTAGCAGAATCTCATCTCCACCCACCGTGCCCCGCACTGCATGCATAAGAGAAGAAGAAGCTCAAGGACATACTCACACGTACAAGACCGATCTGGTGTCTCCCACCTTCCCAGCATCACCAACCGTCAGGGTGTCATAGCCTCGCTCCAGCTCAAACTCTTCAAAGGCAAGCTTGATGACCTAAATACAAGGTACGAAACAGTGACTTAGAACAACAGGTACTTCCCATGACTTTTAATAGGTATTGCAAATATCTAGTTATACTGTTAAATTTTGCTCCTTAATGCCAATGTCAAATGATCCCAGAGCTGCTTTAAGTAGTTACATGGATAATTATATATATTTGATAGCCTGGCATTATAGAATTTTATGAAATTCAGAATTGCTATTACTCCCAACTTATGTATTTTCACCTCTAAAAATGAAATTTAACCTCTGCAACACTTTAAGCCAAATATCTACTAAATGTTTACTTTAACATTCTCAGTGCTTAACTAAATCAATATTAGCAAAAGAAATGTTGGTTATAGTTAATGACATATATTTTTACCATATCCAGAATGCTCTGCAATAAATATTTTTAAAGTTCTATATGCATACTTCATGGAATTATCCATATTAGCACCCCAAAAGACTTTATGAGGATACAAAGCTCTCCTCTATATTTAGTCTTGCAAAGCCTGTAAGTTTTTTGTTTGTTTTTTTACAAAGAATACTTTGTCATGATGAGCAGCACCAAGACATCTGTACAACAATGGTTTATGTTTGATGTGCCAGTATATTATAATCTATTAACTTCTTTCTGTAGAGCACAAGATCTTTTTCTCCTGAAAGAAGAAATGCTTCCTTTGGTGGCCAATACTATGAGGAAGAAAAAGTTAGGCTAGAACCCTGGGTAGTAAGGAGAAAAAGGAAAGAAGATAAATACATGATGATAATTAGAGGAATGATAGATAGATGATAGATTAGATGGATGGTAGAAGATTAGCAGATACAGACAGATTAGATGATAGATAGATAGATAGATAGATAGATAGATAGATAGATAGATAGATAGATAGATGACAGATAGTAGATAGATGACAGACTGGATGGATGGATGGGTGGATGGAAAAATGACAGACGATACACAGATACATGAATATATAAATGAGAGAGAGAGAGATGTAACAAGAGAGACGCAGAGGGTGTGAGAAAGGAAGGCGGAAGAGAGAAGGGACAGGAGGAACAGAAACCATAATACTGGAAGTACATTTTAATAAACTGTGTTTTAGAATGAAACAGAAATTCTGAAATAGCGTAGAAAAGTATCAAATGCCTGTTTGTTAAGCTTGAAAGAAAAGAGTAAGTGGTAGCATAGAGAAGACAGACTTCCCACTAATACCCAAGTCCATGTCCACCATTCCAACAGGCTCTAAACAGGTGCTTTTCCAAGCAATGCCAAAAAGGAATACATTACATTTGCTACTTGAAATTCTTACTAAAATTATTAATATAGCCATTATAATTTATTTAAAAAACCTACTATTTCAAATTGCAGTATTTGTATGAATACATTATTTTAGCAATCTCATTTGAAATAGGTGTCGAGGTTGATAGCTGTTGCAAACCAGTATAAATACTGCATGTTAAACGTAGCACCTGATATTTTTATTTCTACTTTTTGTTTCTCATGAACCAATTTATAAGTGACCATCATCTGATAATCAGACAATTTTAAAACTGAAAGAATCATCACTGAGACCTGCTGGTTTCCTTTCCGACATGTTAACTCAGTCCTGACTTGTTTAAAGTTCTGGTGGGAAGCGATGATAATTCATTAAGGTTTGTGTGTCATGTTTGGCTGATTTGCAATGTGTACAGATAGGGGTCACACTATATGAATGGGCTCTCATTAGGGGTGGAAAAAGGGCCATTCTGTAATTATTTCAAGCCAAGGCAAAGGTAGACAGAGAAAGTCTTTGTCAGTATTTCATCTCAACAATCAGCAGGTCCTGTTGTCAAACACCAATCTTTACTCCACGCTGCTGATGCTCAGTAAAAACAGAAAATGCAGCCTTGGTCTTGCATAGACAGCTTTTAGTTTGTCATATGGCATTTTACAAATATATGCAGCTGTAAAATAGAAGTATGTGTATTTTAACCACATATACCATCCTTTCAGAGTAAAAGAACCAGAGATGCAAATGAAAACTGAAGACAAAAGGATAATACATTTCAAGTTGTGAGCAACTTTAATGACATTGAGCCAAAATGGTTTTAGTTCCTACAGCATATGCACCCTCCTTATGTCTTGCATGGACTCCCTCAGCTGTCCTGGAGCTGGATGCTCCATATTTCTTTTTTTACATATAATTATCTTATCTTTCCTTAAGTTCCGGGGTACATGGGCAGGATGTGCAGGTTTGGGACATAGGTAAACACGTGCCATGGTGGTTTGCTGCACCTGTCAACCCATCACCTAGGTATTAAGCCCAGCATGCATTAGCTCTTTTCCCTGAAGCTTTCCCCAACCAATGTTCCCGAAATAGGCTCCGATGTGTGTTGTTCCTCTCCCTGTGTTCATGTGTTCTCATTGTTCAGCTCCCCTTTGTAAGTGAGAACATGCGGTGTTTGGTTTTCTACTCCTGCCATTTTTCTTAAGTGCCTGCTTAATGTTCCTCCCTCAGCTATGGCTCCACTGCCGACTCTGTCCAAGAAAGCCAGTCTCTTTGCCAAAATCCTGCCTATCCCCTTCATAACATTCCCTGTGTTGGCAGTTTTGGTTGGTTTGCTGTTCTGCCTGCCCTGCAGAGCTCCCTGTAAGGATTGAGGGCAGACACCATGTGGCTTGCTCGTGGAGGGAAGCACTGGCCTCAACCTACAAGAACTCACTGAACATCAACTCCTCCAGGCCACAGAGCTAGGAGTGTTTATTTGAAATCTTTCTACTTTTTTGATATAGGTGTTTAATGCTATAAACTACCCTCTTAGCACTGCTTTTACTATATCTCATAGGTTTTGGTATGTTGTATTTCTATTTTCATTTCCCAGCACTTTGGGAGGCCGAGGAGGGTGGGTCATGAGGTCAGGAATTCGAGACCAGCTTGGCAAACAGAGTGAAACCCTGTCTCCACTAAAAATACAAAAATTAGCCTGGCATGGTGGCGTGTGCCTATAGCCCCAGCTACTCGGGAAGCTGAGGCAGGAGAATCACTTGAACCTGGGAGGTGGAGGTTGCAGTGACCTGAGATCACCACCGCCACTGCACTCCAACCTGGGCAACAGAGTGAGACTCCGTCTCAAAAAAAAAATTATGTTTAAATTTTGTTCTTAATTTCTTTATAGACCCATTGGCCTATTTCTTCATAGACCCATTGGACACTCAGGAACATGTTTAATTTCCATGTATTCGTACAATTTTGAAAGTTTCTCTTGTTATTTATTTCTAATTTTATCTGTTACAGTCAAAAAATATACTTGATATGATTTAGATTTTTAAAAAATTTGTTGACCCTTGTTTTGTGGGATAACATACGATCAGTCCTGAAGAATATTCATACCATGTACTGATGAGAAAAATGTGTATTATGCAGCTGTTGGATGAAATGTTCTGTAAATGTCCGTTAGGTCCATTTGGTCTACACTATAGTTTAAGTTTAACACTTCTTTATTAATTTTCTGTCTAGATAATCTGTTCCATGCTGAGAGTAGCAGGATGTTCAAGTCCACATCTATTATTATATTGGAGTCTATCTCTCCCATCAATAATGTTTGCTTTATATATCTGGGGTCTCTGGTGTTGGGTGCATATATGTTTACAATTGTTATACATTATTTTTGTCTTTGTCTCATTTTACATTTGTTTCACTTTCCATTTATTTATTTATTTATTTATTTAGACACAGTCTTGCTCTGTCACCCAGGCTGGAGTGCAGTGGTGCAATCTCAGCTCACTGCAACCTGTCTCCTGGGTTTAAGCAATTCTCATGTCTCACCCTTCTAGGTATCTGGGATTACAGGGTCAATATACCCAGCCATTTCACATTTTTTCACTTAAAGTCCATGTTATCTGATAAAAGTATGGCTATTCCTGCTAGTTTTTGGTTTCTGTTTGCATGGACTATCTCTTGTAATGTCTTCAGTTTAGTCTATGCCTTTACAGGTGCAGTGAGTTTCTTATAGGCAGTATGCACTTAGATATTGCTTTTTAAATTATATTGTCACTTGGTTATTTCTGTTCTGGTTGTTTTGCACATCCTCTATTCCATTCTCATTCTCTTCTTGGTTATTTTTGTGGTTTGGTGGTTTTCTGTAGTGATATGGTTTTACTTCTTTCTCATTTATTTGTCTGCTCTACCAGTGAATATTACTCTTTTGTGTGTCTTCACAATGGTGGTTATCACCCTTTCACTTTCAGATGAAGGGCTCCCATAAGCATTTCTTGTAGGACCATTCCAGTAGTGATAAATTTTTATTAGCTTTTCCTCATCCGGGAATAATTTTATTCTTACAACTCTAATGTATAGCTTTGCTGGGTATAGTATTCTTGGCTGACATTTCTTCTTCTTTTTTCTTTCAGCATTTTCATTATATCACCCTGTTCTCCCCTAGCCTGTAACGGTTCTGCTGAGAAATCTAATGTTAGTCTGGGAGCTTCTTGCTTATATTTGACTTGACTGTTTTGTCTTGCTGTTTTTAGACTTCTCTTTGTCTTTGAAGTTTTTTATTATGTATTTATATTGCTATATCAAGGTGTGGATATTTTGGAGGTATATGTGGTACTTTGATACATGTATACAAAGTTTAACGATCAAATCAGGAGAACTGTGATATCCATCACCTCAAATAATTTTTTCTTTTTTCTTTTTCTTGGGAAAATTACAAAATCACCAGGAGAGAAGGAAGAATTGTCTTTGACTTTTGATAGTTTGATTATAATGCTCTTTGGAGAGCATCTTTGGCATTAGATCTGTTTGGTGATCTTTGAGCTTCCTGGATCTGAATGCACATATTTCTCCAAAAATTTGAGAAGTTTTCAGCTGTTATTTTATTATATAGATATCCTACACCTTTCTGATCTCTTCTCCTTCTAGAACTCCCATAATGGGAATATTTGTCCCCTGCATTTTGTTCCACACATTTTGTAGGCATTCCTTATTCTTACTTATTCTTTTTTGTCTGACTGGCTTATTCCGAAAATCCTGTCTCCAGGTTCAGAAATTCTTTTTTCATCTTGATCTAGTCTGTTGTTGAAGCTCTTGATTTTATTTTTTAAATTGTATTCATTTTATTATTCAGTTTCAAGACTTCTGCTTAGTTCTTTTTGTGTAATATCTCTGTTGAATTTCTCATTCAGATCATGAATTGTTTTCCTACTTTTTGAATTGTCTATTTTTATTCTACTGATTCTCACGGCGTATCTTTAACATCATTATTTTAAAAATCATATAGGCATTTTGTAGCTGTCCTTTTCTTTGGGATATGGAATTAGAAAATGATTTTGTTCCCTTGGGGGTGTCATGTTTCTTGCTTTTTAGACATTTCTTGTGTTCCTACATTAGTATCTATACATCTGACAAAACAATTTCTCCTAATATTAGAATGTAGTTTTAGTAGGAAAAAACTTTTTCCTGTAGATGTGTCTCATAGTGTCAGTTGGGTAGGGTGCTTTGGTTTGTATTCTGCATGAGTACAGTAGTGCAGTCTTCATGATATTTATTTGGTTGTAATCAATGTCTGCATGTTTGTAGCTGTCTGAGTAGCCTTGGCTGCAGGTGTTTGTGGAAGTGTTGGTTCAGCTCTAATGCAGATGGAGACTTTGGGGTGGCCTTGTTTTGGGGATATAGAAGGTCACATGAGCCATCTCTGCTTCTCAGTGGAATGAGTTTTCTGGCAGTGGTTGGCCTCAGGTGGGCTGGTCCTTGGGTCCCTGGGGAGCATGTGTGAGCATTCAGCAACTCCACTGCTTGGAGTGGGGGGAGTGTTCACTGCTGGCAGCAGTACCCAAAAGGCCAGTCCTTGGTCTCCTGCAAGAGGCATATATCCAGGGTGCTTGTTGGTAGTGTGCCTCAAGAATTCAGCTCTCAGGGTCTTGGGAGCATGCACTTTGGCTCCCCCTGTCTTGAGAGTGGCCTCCCGACTCTGCTTGACGACTTGTGGTATAGGGTACTTCATGGTCTTGAGTGCTGGGTTCAGGTTTGTGTCACTGAGTGCAGCTGGGGTCATAGTCCTGCATCCTTCTCCTTGGCTGTGGTGGGATGATGGCTGCGTTCTCAAGATGTGGAGATGCTACTGGCCCTGTGGGCAGGATGTACTCTGATAGTTCTTCTGTCCTGAAAATGGCACCATGCTGCAGCAGCCTGAGGCCCAGAGAACAAGAGAGGAACCCGGTGTGAGTTCTCTCCCCGGAGCAAAACAGTCATGTGGGCTGCAGGTAGCTCCCTACCCTTGGCTCAGGGCCTATGAGGCCTGTGGGGGCTTTTCTGAAGCCCTGAATACAGGCATCTGGGGTGGGAGTGTGACCTGCTGGGGATCTCCCACTTACCTTCTCCCTACAATCGGGAGTCCTTTTTTGGCACTGAACGGATCCTACCTGCGCACTTCACGTTCATCTTTATGCTGCCATCTTGAGTTTCCATGCCTTAGAGGGTCTTCTTTACTCTGTTGCTTCAGTACAGTGTTCTCCCCTAGACACTGCACTTGACATGTGCTTACCTACTTGTCATTTTGGTTCCTCTTTGTGAAGGAGGAAAGTGCTGGGCACTCTAGCTAGACATCTCGATGTCTGCTAAGCTTTGCATGACTTTTAGACATTTCTAGATGGTACGTCAAGCCACTGTGGCCAGTGAGCATTTAGAAAAAAACAGTATGGAGCTTGGGAGAGGTTCACGACCAGACACACAGAAATGGGGGTCCCTAACCACAGATGCCACCTAAAATACTAAGACTCTGTCAGAGTATCAAAGGAAGGCACGTGAAAAGAAGAGGAATGAGGATGAGCTGCAGTCTCTTTCATATTTAGAGGTCAAGGAATTGAGGAAGAAATGACAAAGAAAAAAGAATCTGTGGTAGGGAGGACACCAAGAATATGGTGTTTTGTGAAAAATCCATAAAACTAAAGATCTTAAGGAGGAGGGAGTGATCACATGTGTTGAATGCTACTAAGAATGTGAATTAGATGAGCTCTAAGATGAGACGTGTGGGCTTGACTGGATGGAGGACATGGATAACCATGGCAAGAAAGAACAGCAGAGTTGTAGGCATGGAAGAAGCGCTAAAGTGGATTGGCAGAATGGGATGTGAGGAAGCGGAGTAAGTGGTTCTGCAGATCTCTCAGGTATCTTAACTAACATGGATGAAGAGAAGTAAGAATGTGTCAGAGAGGATTTTTTCTTTTAATGGAGAATATTGCAAGAGAATAAGAATGATTCAATAAGTATATAAATGATTTTGCAGGAAAGAAATATTGTTGCTACTTTGATTCAAATAATATGTATTTTCCTTGACAAAATATTAATTTATAAACAAAATGAAAAGATTTCCCAAAAATCAAAAATAAAATATACTATATAGTTTCAATTTACTGAAAAAAATTCATTTGATATGGGTCCATTCAAATAGAGAGACCACTTCTCCTGATTCAGTTAAACCAAAAGAATCCAAATATATCAACTGATCTCTATGATCTTTGCCTCTGTGCATGTGCATACACACATGCTCACACACACAGGCACAGAAACACACATGCACACACATACACACACACCCCAAGAAAAATGTATGCATCATTGGGTTTCTTCCTTGATAGCACTATTTTTAAGTTTTTCCTTTTGATGTTCTTCCGTAAACTACATTTGTTTTTCTGAATAACATGTTTGTGTCAGAAACTGTGATGGCAGGCAAATGAATAGGAAAAATATTTTATAATTTTCCAAGATTTAGAACTGACAGCACAATATAAATCAGTACCAAGACCCTACATCTTGGAATAAGATAATTTATAAATGCTTTAATTAATAACTGTAGGTTTGAAATTAATGGGTTAGAAATGACAACTCAGAACACACTGGAAGGAACACTGGAAAACTGACGCTATAATGTATCTGATTCATTCCACTTCAAATTATGTATCAGAAGAAAGGCCTTTCAAACAGTGAATTTCCTCATAAAAAACATGATAACAAGTTTATGTCTGGAAATTATTAACACGGTTGCAAGAAGAACGATTACACATTTTAAAAGAAAATGCACACTTTCTTAGAAAATAAATATTATCAAATAATTTTACTTGTTTTCACCTGAGGTTGTAAGGGCCAATCATAAAACAACTAAAAATGTAATTAATGATAAGGAGACAAACTGACCAAATATATCTACCATAGATACTGGATAAATATACGTTTAAATTTCCTACAAAAGAACACATACAACAATCATTGCTGATGGGAATGCAAAATGGTACAGTCACTTTGGAAGATACTTTGGAAGCTTCTTACATAACCAACTATATGCTTATCAAATAATGAAATAATCATATATCTTGGAATTTAACACCAACAGCTAAAAACGTATGTCCACACAAATCCCAGCACTTTGGAAGGCTGAGGCTGGCAGATCACGAGGTCAGGAGATCGAGACCATACTGGCTAACGTGGTGAAACCCCGTCTCTACTAAAAATATAAAAAAATTAGCCGGGCATGGTGGTGGGCGCCTGTAGTCCCAGCTACTCGGGAGGCTGAGGCAGGAGACTGACGCGAACCCAGGAGGAGGAGCTTGCAGTGAGCTGAGATCGCGCCACTGCACTGCAGCCTGGGGGACAGACCGAGACTTCATCTCAAAAAAAAAAAAAAAAAGAAGTATTTCCACACAACAAACAACTGCACATGTACGTTTATAGCAACTTTATTCATAATCGCCAAAATTAGGAAGCAACCAATATGTCCTTCAGCAGGTGAATGGATAAACTGTGGTATATCCAGACAGTGGAATATTATTCAGGGCTAAAAGGAAATGAGCTGTCAAGCCATGAGAAAACATGGGGGAAAACTAAATATATTTTACCAAGTGAAACAAGCCAATTTTAGAAGGTGACGTGTTGCAACATTTCAACTGCATGACATTTCGGAGAAGGCAGAACTATGGAGACAGTAAAAAGATTAGTGATTGTTAGGGGTTAGAAGAGGGAGGGATGAAGAGCAGGAGCACAGAGGATTTTTAGGACAGTGAAACTCTCTGTGTGATGTTATAATGGTGGACACTGACTTTATACAGTTGCCCAAATCCACAGAGTAAATAGCAGCCGGAGTGAGCCCTAACGTGCACTATGGACTTTGGTAATTCAGCATGAATCAATGTTCATCATGCATGAACAGCATGAATGCATGTTCATCAAATGTAACAAACACACCATGCTGAAAGCATCTGGTGAGGATGCTTACAGTGGGGAGGTTGTGCATGTGTGGGGGCAGGGGGTACGGGGAAACTATGTCTTCTGATCAATTTTGCTGTGCAAACTGCTCTAAAAATAAAACCTAATAAATTAACAAAAATTACACATATAAGCTTTTATATCTGTATGCAACACATACCAATAGCCCACAGTATACAGTGTGAAATTACAAAGACTGAATTTCAACCTAGAAAAAAGTACTTTGAACACACACACCCACACACAAAGAAAGGGAGTTAGAAAAATATGTCATTAATTCTGGGATATCCTTGCTTTATCTGAGATGTTTAGCCCCACATATAAACACTAGGAGTCTCTTATAAACTACAATTCAATGCACTGCTATGAAGAAGAGGATTCACACATTATTTCAAATGTAACTATATGACTATTAGCCTATGCTACAAAAAGTCAAAGCTGCTAGTGATTCAGGGTGGGAAATAAAGTTTGCACAGGCAGTGAAAAGCGCAATTCCTCTAAAACACAGCAGTCTTGGGACGGCGGCATCAGCTGGCAGGAAGCCAAGAAACTTGGTATTTCATGCTAAAATCTCCCAGATGGTTCTCTGGACCTTTAAGTATTACTGACATCCCCGCCCTCAGGGCCCTGCCAAGTCCCTTTTGTCAGCTTTAAATGGTACATAAATTACCGTAATTCTCTTTGTGCTGCCCTGCTACAGAGAGAATTAGTCTCAGCTCAAGACAGCTAAAGAAGCTGGATGTCCCCCATCCACTGGAAAGGATTCCTGAGAAGACCTGGCTTAGTTTTCCCTGTCTCAGCCCACCTGTGGTTTCAAAATGGCCTAAAAAGCAGCCCCCCTCTTTCCTTGCCCTCCATCTCCCCCCATCCCCCCTTGCCCCCCCCCAACCCCCACACTCTTCCTAGCCCCTGGTAGCCACTGTTCAACTCTCGACTTGGATGAGATCAACTTTTTAAACTTCCACATGAGTGAGAATATGGAGGCGGGGGTTAGGGCGTGGACAAGAAGTGGTTGATTTTGGGGTATGAAAGTCCAGCTAGATAGGTGCAATCAGTTCCAGTGTTCGACAGCACTGCAGGGTGACTGTCATGAACAACAATTTGCTGTGTATTTCAAAATAGCAAGAAAACAGGAATTTAAATGTCTCCAACACAAAGAAATGATGAATGTTTGAAGTGATGAATATGTTAATTCCCATGATTTGATCAATGACACACTGTATACCAGTATTGAAACACTGCATGTACCCCATAAACAGGTACAATTATTATGTATTAATTAACAATTTCTTTAAAAAAACATTTTTTTTAAGTGAACAAGTACAATCACACTGACAAAAGAGAGAGTCTGGGCTTTGCTGCTTACTCAACGAGAGTCTTGAAAGAATTGTTTAACCTTTCTTCTGTCTTATCCGTAAAATGAGAATGATGCCGATTTCCCTGGGGGATTTCTGGGATTCAAGAATGCAGTGCAAGCAAGGTGTGTACTTCTTCTTGGCATCCAGCAGACACTTGATCAATGGCAGTTGTGTTCATTATTATCCTCATGGCAACCCTTCATAAAAACCTTGTCATGTCTGCCAGACCCAGGCACATTCTGCCACCATTTGAAGTATTCTGTTATTTCAAATCTCACGAGTCTTTATAACCAAGAAAAACTCATCTGTCTTCTCTCTGACTCTGCAATTTCTAACTCCAATTTTATCTAAAATGACCTCTTATCTTTTGAATTCCCGGCAAATTTTATCACCTGCACCCTTCCTTCTCTATTGCAGTAGTGGTATTTTGCTTCTCTTAAGTGTGGTTTTCACAAACTACTTAGATGAAGAAATTGTGGATGCTTGAGGAGTAAGGTGAGATTCATTAAATTTCAAGAGAGTAGCAAGTTGAGAGTCATGTGAAAATGATAGTGGCAAATGTGGCAAGGAAAATTTCTGAAGCAGAACCCGTCAAAATGCCAGTGAAATGGGCAGAGATAGAAAATGCTTAAGCACAACAACAAAGATTAACCAGTGCACCAGGGAAAGTAAGCAAACAAAACAGTGATGGAGAAACAGTTAAAAAAAAAAAAAGTTTTGCTGCATAAGATGGGAGAATAAGCTAGTGAGAATTTCAGGAGAATTTCTGTAACCCCTGAAATAAAGTAACCCAAGCATCACAGGCAGATTTCAGTAAATTATTGAAATCTGCCCTCAGATGTATGAAAGAGGGTAGAGTAAGTATTAAAAAATGAGAGACTGGGAATGTAAAAGTCGCAATGCAATAATGGATATAGAATAAACCAGAACACTGTTAGATGCGATAAAATGCAGAATTAACATTTACATCAATCAACCAAAGATGTGTGGAGTGACCGCTGAAACTTTGAAGGAGCAAAAGATGAAAAGAAGATGAGAGAAAATTATAGATCACTACATGAAAGCAAAAGATATTGAAGTTTCTTGAGAAATAATTATGGGCGCAGAATCAATAATTAGAAAAATAATGGAAGATACACTTTCACGACTGATTAAAGAGTTGAGAAGGAAGATAAAAGTGCTTCATTATGGCCCCTGTAAATGAAATAAAGCTGTATGACAATAATAGGAATACGTCACCTCACAGAATTCACACTAACAACACCAGAAGAATTCTGTACACAAACCCAGAAGAACAAGCAGATTATATTTGAGGAAATACAAATCAAAGTTAGTTTTGTCTTTTTTTGGTAGCATAACAAAACCGTAGAGGTACTGGACCAACAACACTATGAGCACTGGATAGAAGGGAAAACGATGTTCTGCTTAGTATGTCTACTTAGCAAACAGGCTATTTTATGTGAGAAGGAAGAGAAAATATTTACAGATTTTTAAATGTCTCAGGTATCGTATCAACACACTCCTTATCACCAACTTGGCTGAAAGGTGAACTTCAAATAATAAGATTAATTTAAAAAACAGTTACTTAAGGAGGTTCTTTACAAATACACTAAAAAGAATGATCTCCAAAAAGTTATGTAAACCAGAAAGGAAGAGGGTTGAGTGGATAAAAATACACGTATGTATATTTATTCTTACATATTAAACAATATAATTTAACAAATGTAGAAAGGGCAACCAAGTTCCTCCTGGGGTTGAGCCCTGGGGCTGTGTTCTCATAAGGAGGTGTCTCATCGGAGGCCAGGTGATAGGTGCGGCGGCCAGCAGAGGAAGTGCCAGGGAGGCAGCTGAAACTCAAGGACTCTGAACACCCCCAGCCCCAGGACGAGCTGTCAGGGAGACGGCCCTGGGGGAGAGGGTGCAGGTGAGCCAGGCTCTATGTCTGGCATCATCTGTCACAGACACTACTTAAGTGCCTCAGATTCCTACTACCCGCTATTTCTAGACATCCAAAGAGACAAGGAGGCTTGCCGGAGTTTGCATGCTAACAAGAACACTGGAGGTAGGGGAGTAAACACGTTTTTACACATGTGTAGAGAGGAGAAGGTGCCGAATGGGTAAGTACTCACATTCTCACCACTGGTCATGGCCAGAAAGGGGGAATAAGTTACTTCCAGTCACTCTTCCAATAATGCTCTATGGAGCAGCAGTTACACAGATACTTTACGTTTCATTCATTCCCTCATCTTTCATTCATCTTCAACCACGCCTCTAAATATCTCTATGTCTCCCAAAAAAGCATGCTAATATTTTTCTTAGGAAAACTTACATCTGCATATTCAGTAAGTTTCTGGAATAAATAAACTCCGAATTTGGGGTGTCATGAAGATAAAAGAAAGGAGGCAATGATTGACTGTATAGGAGATTTCGAGATAATTCAACAAGGTTGCTCATGGTTGGCAGTGATTTACTTCCTCCACACCTGGATTTTTTAAATGCTTTTCAAGGTCTTAAATTTTAAAAACACCATAAAACTAAAATAAATATAAAAGTGTAATGACACTATTTGATGTCGGATAATTTGAAAATAAATATTGGCAACATCACTTAATAAATGTGTTGATGTTCACACTTAACTAATTTAGGAAGTTTTGCTTATCTTTGATATAGAGTTTCTAATATACATTTTCATACAAGATGTTGTAAGAATTGAACAAACGTATATACCAAGTGCCTAACATAGAGCTTGGTGTCATGGTTACAGTTTTACAAATGATAATTACTATTATTATAAAAATCATAGAAATTGAATAAACAGAATTTACATAGTGGAAAAGTGGTGATTTAAGTGGTTTAGAGGGGAACTCAATTGTGAATCATCATGAAATCTATTTTGTAACATTAGGTAACCTATACAATATTTTTTTTGTAGAAGTAAAAAGGAAAACTTCTGCCTTTACTCATCTCATTACTAAGAATATTTTTTAGCTTCATCCATGTCCCTAAAAAGGACATGAACTCATCATTTTTTATGGCAGCACAGTATTACATGATGTATTTGTGCCACATTTTCCTAATCCAGTCTATCATTGTTGGACATTTGGGTTGGTTCCAAGTCTTTGCTATTGTGAATAGTGCCACAGTAAACATACGTGTGCATGTGTCTTTATAGCAGCATGATTTATAATCCTTTGGGTATATACCTAGTAATGGGATTGCTGGGTCAAATGGTATTTCTAGTTCTAGATCCCTGAGGAATCGCCACACTGACTTCCACAATGGTTGAACTAGTTTACATTCCCACCAACAGTGTAAAAGTGTTCCTATCTCTCCACATCCTTTTCAGCACCTGTTGTTTCCTGACTTTTTAATGATTGCCATTCTAACTGGTATGAGATGGTATCTCACTGGGGTTTTGATTTGCATTTCTCTGATGGCCAGTGATGATGAGCATTTTTTCATGTGTTTTTTTGGCTGCATAAATGTCTTCTTTTGAGAAATATCTGTTCATATCCTTTGCCCACTTTTTGATGGGGTTGTTTGTTTTTTTTCTTGCAAATTTGTTTGAGTTCATTGTAGATTCTGGATATTAGCCCTTTGTCAGATGAGTAGGTTGCAAAAAGTTTCTCCCATTCTGTAGGTTGCCTGTTCACTCTGATGTTGGTTTCTTTTGCTGTGCAGAGGCTCTTGAGTTTTATTAGATCCCATTTGTCAATTTTGGCTTTTGTTGCCATTGCTTTTGGTGTTTTAGACATGAGGTCCTTGCCCATGCCTATGTCCTGAATGGTATTGCCTAGGTTTCCTTCTAGACAAAAAACCAAACACCACATGTTCTCACTCATAGGTGGGAATTGAACAATGACCAACCTCCTTGTCTCTTTGGTTGTCTAGAAATAGCAGGTAGTAGGAATTTGAGGCACTTAAGTGGTGTCTGTGACAGATGATGCAAGACATAGATCCTGGCTCACCTGCGCCCCCTCCCCCAGGGCAGGTGAGAACACTTGGACACAGGAAGGGGAACATCACACACGGGGGCCTGTTATGGGGCAGGGGGAGGGGGGAGGGATAGCATTAGGAGATATACCTAATGTAAGTGACGAGTTAATGGGTGCAGCACACCAACATGGCACATGTATACATATGTAACAAACCTGCATGTTGTGCACATGTACCCTAGAACTTAAAGTATAATAAAAAAAAAAGAAAAAATAGAATATTTTTTAAAGAAATACTAAACACTAAGAATGAAAAGATTCAGATGAATGAACTGAGACACTTATTTTAGCGATGTGTGAGAAAATTTTAAAATCACTGATTTATTCAATCACTCCTTCAGTCGGTTTTATTGTACTTCCAGCTTATCTATTATGGAAAATTTTCTGCGAGTTTTATGTCATGAATATTTTAAAATTTAAAACAAATAAAATTATCATTCTATTTAGACCGAATAGAGGACAGAACGCCTCCGTAATGCTCCACCACCTACGCTTTTCCCATTATGGAAAGAGACACATCAGCTGTCACTCTCCTACACTGGGAAACGGTGACAAAAGTGACCAGTTAGAGCCATGAGACAGGAATGATCCATGGACCCTTGCACATAAATTTTTAAAAGTCTGAGAACTTAAAGTCCTCATGCTTAGTATTTCTGAGCTCAGACTTAAGTGAGAATATCTCAGTGCAAATCCCAGCTTTGTCTCTTGCAAGCTATCTGACCTTGGGCAAGACACTGTATCAGCGGTCCATGTGCCAGTTTCCTCCTCTTTACCTGGGGACAAAATTAATGCGTGCTCAGTAGGATTCTTATGAGAATTTACTCTAAGTATTCAGTAGATAAGGTCAACTCAAAAGTTTCTATGTCAAGAAAGTGATTGGTTTCGGAAATCTGGGCAATTAGAGAAACAATATTATCTGGACCCCTTTACAAACACAGAGATGAAAGGAGATTAAAGCATGGACAATGACTAAAAAATATATTTAAGCCTTTCCCCCACCCATAGTTATAGTAAATCATTTTACGTTCACTGTTTCTTTAGCCAAGTCAACTTTGTCATAAGAAAAAATAATCCATTGCTATTAAATACAATTTTAGACAATTTTCTCAGGACAATGTTTTGGTGATTCTGCCTTCTATAGGCAAGGAGTCTTGCACAAGTCGTTGAACTATTTTTCATTTCAGCTTCCTCATCTTTAAAATGAAGAAGGTAGGCTATTCTACCAAGATTGCCTCTAAATTTTATTCAATTCCAATTTTCTATAACTGTTTCTATGTTAGAAGCTATATCTAGTGGATATAACAGATCTAATCTGGGAAAGGGAAGAAGCTATAAGATATCATCAACCTAACAAAAAGAAAACAAAAGATGCTTAATCATCTTCAACTGCAGGGCTATTTGCTTCCTATTAATTAACAGAATAATCAGAGTGATATTTTGTTCTAGAATCCAAGGGGTCTGCTTGATGCCTTCTGTCCTGGAGCACACGTCTGTCAGCCCACCAGCCAGGTGTGAGGCTAGCTGTTCAGGAAGCAATTATCAGGTTGGACCCAACTCTGTGGCCATGGTAAAGGGGAACTCATGCCCCAGTGAAGCGATGAGGGCAACGCTTAAGTTGCTGGCATTTCAGCCTCTCCCATGTGCAGTTTCTTACTTGGTAAGTGTGTCAAAAAATTGCAAATGCATCTCTCCAATTGACGTATACAAGTCGCGTATCCACTTCTCCCCTCTACATCAGTGAAACACCGGTAAGGATAAAGAAAATGAATTCATTAGGAGAAAGTAAATGATTCCAGCCTGAACATAAGGACATGAATTGACAGAGAATACATATCTGTGTATATGCTTTTGTGAAAACACTGAGGCAAGTAGGGTGTGCTGTACTGTGGGGCTGGACATCAGGGAGTCGGCAGGAGAAGTGGCCGACTCCTGCCTTCTGCGCCGCGTCCCTTGCCTGCAGCCCAGGCTTCTCACTCCACATGGCCTGCCTCTGTCTTCCCATTCCCGTCACAGGAAAGAGCAACACAGCCGGAGCTTGGGGGAGGACAGTAGAGAAAGCACATGGGTACTTGAAGTCCAAATGTCTTTTGAGCGCAGGCTCTGTTGCTGATTTGGCCTGGCATGGGGTAAGTTACTCAGCCCAGTCCCCTCACCCTCAATATCATCTTACAGGGTCTCTGAAAATGAGGTCTTAGGAAAGAAAATCTTAGAAGGTCTTTAAAGAGGTCAAATGAAGCAACATTTGTCACTTGCTTAACACATTACGTGGCACAAAATAATGCCTCAAAAAATGCTGGTGACTCTCTTGCAGAAGAATAACATACGATAAAAAAATCACATTTCAGATTATGTAAGATATAGAGGCAGGATTACTTTTTAATGATTGCCATTCTAACTGGTGTGAGATGGTATCTCATTGTGGTTTTGATTTGCATTTCTGTAATGACCAGTGAGGATGAGCTTTTTTGCCTATGTTTATTAGCCGCATAAATGTCTTCTTTTGAGAAGTATCTGTTCATATCCTTCCCCCACTTTTTGATGGGGTTGTTTTTTCCTTGTAAATTTGTTTAAGTTCCTTGTAGGTTCTGGATATTAGCCCTTCGTCAGAGATACATGCACACGTATGTTTACTGCAGCACTATTCACAATAGCAAAGACTTGGAATGAACCCAAAGGCCCATCAATGATAGACCAAACAAAGAAAACGTGGCACTTATACACCATGGAATACTATGCAGCAATAAAAAAGGATGACTTGATGTCCTTTGCAGGGACATGGATGAAGCTGGAAACCATCACTGTCAGCAAACTAACAAAGGAACAGAAAACCAAACACTGCATGTTCTCAGTAATAAGTGGGAGTTGAACAATGAGGACACAAGGGCACAGGAAGGGGAATATCATACACCAGGGCCTGTTGGGGGGTGAGAGGCTAGGGAATGAATAGCATTAGGAGAAATACCTAATGTAGATGACAGGTTGATGGATACAGCAAACCACAATGGCATGTGTATACCTATGTAACAAACCTGCACGTTCTGCACATGTATCCCAGAACTTAAAGTATTAAAAAAAAAAATTCCTTAACTGGCATGTTATAGATTTGGAAATGATCTGTACCTATCCTCCAAAAGAAGAGAAGGTTTACTCAAAATCTGTGGCCAGCCAGGCACGTTGGCTCACGGCTGTAATCCCTGCACTTTGGGAGGCCGAGGCAGGTAGATCACTTGAGGTCAGGAATTTGAGATCAGCCCGGCCAAAATGGTGAAACCCCTCTCTACTAAAAATATGAAAAAAGATTAGCTGGGCATGGTAGCAGATGTCTGTGATCCCAGCTACTCAGGAGGCAAAGGCAGGAGAATCCCTTGAACTGGGGCGGTGGAGGTTGTGGTGAGATGAGATCACTATTGCCCTCCAGCAGGGGTGACAGAGTGAGACTCCATCTCTAAAAAAATAACATAACATAACATAACATAACATAACATAACATAACATAACATAACATAACATAACAATAAATAAAATAAAATAAAAATATAATAAATGTAATATGCAATTTATCGCCACAGAATTTGCGTTTTTGTTAGAAAGTCAAATTAAAAAAAAAAAAACGGTTGTTATATGATGATTTTTGGTAAAAGTTTTCACCTGCAGTTTTACAGTCACAGTGAGGACTCATGAGTTTACAACGTTTCATTTCTCCAGGCCCCGCTCCCTGGGCATTCCCCATCACCGTGGATCCACTATGTGGCCCTAGAGAGTTACTTTTACTCTGTGATTTGACCTCCTCATATTTCTCATCCTGCCTGGACTGTGGCCCCAACCACGCTCATAGCACCAAACATGTCCTTGGCAGAATTTCTTACTATCCTGGCACAGATGAGTCTGTCCACCTAATTTACCACCGCTCCTCGCGGGTCCACGTGCAGAACCATGCTGCATTCTCATCTTCAGGGATGGACTGGAAGCATTCTTGAAGATGCAGTGCTGAGTTTAGCAACTTATTTGTTCTATACCCACAGCCTCAGCCTCTCCCCTAATACAGACTTCAGCTCAGAAATTCAAGATTACTCGTGTGTCTCTCCCCATAGACAGGCTTTTGGTGCACAGAATTTGATTTATGTATTTGTAATCCTGAGCAATGTGCCCATGACACCTAAGGATGCTGTAAGAGGCACTGAAAGAATGACCACATGAACGGCTGGGCTGGTGGGCTGGTGGGCTGGTGGGTGAGTCCACAGCAGCAGGAGAAATGAACCCTCTCCTCCAGGAGCTTACTTTAATTTTTTTCTTTTTTTTTTTTTTTTTTTAAGACAGAGTCTTGCTTTGTCGCCAGGCTGGAGTGCACTGGCATGATGACATGATCTGGGCTCCCTGCAACCTCTGCCTCCTGGGTTCAAGCAATTCTCCTGCCTCAGCTTCCCAAGTAGCTGGGACTATAGGTGCATGCCACCACACGCAGGTTTTTTATTTTTTACTAGAGACAGGGTTTCACCATGTTGGCTAGGATGGTCTTGATCTCTTCATCCGCCCACCTCGGCCTCCCAAAATGCTGGGATTACAGGTGTGAGCCACTGCACTTGGTCTTTTTAAGGAGGAAGATGTAACACGTGGGCCCGTTGTATAACCATAGAGAGCCACAGATAGCAAAAATATAGAAAGAAGTCTCCGTCCCTATGAAAGGCATTAGCATGCTTGAAAGATCATTTAAAAATACATTTGAGGTTTTAGAATTTTCCACTTCTAAAACGGATAGCTGTGTTTTCATGGTCATTGTCTAGCCCTCCTTGGGGTGAATGCATTGAATTATTATTATTATTTTTTTTTATATGCCTTTATGGATTCAGCTACAATGCCTAGACTTTACTCTGGCAAACTTTGGGAAAAAAATAGTTACATACTAATCCTCCAACTTTAATAAATCCCCTAGTTTTCCCCTATTTGGAAATTATTTTGTTTTTTGTAAGAGGAGTATTTTCTGAGTGAAGAAATCCATAGGTAAGTCCTGGCTTTGTCACTTGCCCACAGATTTTTTTTTTTTTTTGAGATGGAGTCTTACTTTGTTACCCAGGCTGGTGTGGAGTGGTGCTCACTGCAACCTCTGCCTCCCAGGATCAAGCATTCTCCCGACTCAGCCTCCTGAATAGCTGGGATTACAGGCCTGTTGTGGGATCTCACCTTGTGATCGTGTGAGTCAATACTCCTTAATAAAATCCTCTTTATATATACACCTATCCTGTTAGTTCTGTCCTTTGGGAGAATCCTGATTAATACACTAATCCTACGCAATGCCCCAGAAAACATGGTAAGACTTACTGCTCTGCCACCATCATCTAAGACAGTCTACCAGCCAATATGCCAGCAGGTCCACAAAATATAGACACTTGGATATGTAAGTCTACTGCCCTCATAGTCTGTGTGTTAGTTACCATAATAGGTCAGCTGCAGAGTGCAGCTTCACCAAACACATGAGAGATAGACAGCATTTTAATTACGTAATAGAGTACAGAATAAGAAAACTGCATTGCAGATTTGGAGAGAAGATCCTGGAGTATGAAAAAGTAGATAAACACACAAAGGTTATAACCACAGAATAATTCAGGCCAGAACATAAGAAGGGGCCATTAGAAGTGAGAGTAGGTACTTGTAATAAGAAAACAGAGAAGGTAGCAGATTCCAATCCAGGCCTTCTTTTTATCGTACAGAAAAATAATTTTCTTATAATAGCACACAGTTCTCTTAGGAACACCCTGTGTTCTTTAGTTTTTCAAAGCATCACTCAATCCTCTTCTCTTGGCAGATAGGAGGCTCAAATCAATCTCTCCGTAATCACTTCTGTCTCCCAGGAAGCTGTCATAGCTTGTTCCCCAATCCCTCATGAAGACATGCTCTTGTGTAAAGGATACTAAATAAGACCGGCTTTCTTAGAGTCTCTTTCATTTTCTCAGGAAGCCATTATAAATGGTGCAACATAGAGACGTCCTCAGTGCATTGCAGCTAGTAGATATTTTTGGCTAGGTGGCTGATCTCCCTGGTGATGTTGTAAGTCTTCAGGTACTGCACACCTAGCAATACAACATGCAATCTCTTGGAATGATTACATAATGTCTTGCAAATGTGGTGTTATCCCCATCTGCTCACGGGTCATCCCCACTGAAGAACCCAGGCTTCAATTTTTGGAATTGACTAAAAATGGCTTTAATGACAATCACTTAAAAGTAATGTTTCACAAATAAATAATATGTTATAGTTGGGGGAATATTCCTAAATTCTATATTTAAGTGTATTTGTTTTAATGTGACTCACTACTTTTTTCAGTGCTAGTCATATATAACCCAGGCTACATTTCAAATTTTTTTTATCATATTTGTAGGTATCTTTTGTTAATATCATTTGAAGCTGAACCATGATATTAATACTATTTTTTCAGTAAAAATAATTGCCTTCATAATTTATACTGCACATGATCCTTTAGTGATTAAACTGTAACTTACAGTGGGTACCTATATTATTAACACAAACAACATATTGCTGATAATATCTAATGACTTTTTAAAAAATCAGAGAAATAAAATAAATTTTATTATTGTTTATATCTATATGCTAAAGGCTGCCCAAGCAAATGTATTTGAATTGATAAATATTATTGGAATATATCAAAGTGCCTTTTAAAAACAACATTTTATACTGAAATTAAAGCCTAACATTTAATCAAATTTATAATCCATCGACTATATTCGACATCTAACTTTTCAAAATAATAATACAGTTAATGAACATTTTACACATTTAAAAAATCAGTCATTAATGTTATAATTCATCTTGAATACATGCGAAGGATCAAGAAGTAGTCATGAAAGTCCTACTCTCTATGAAATTTTAAAGATTTGAGGAAATTAAATGTCAAGTACATTTGACATCCTATTTGTCCTTAATATAAATAACAGCACTGTACCTGCTTTTTCTGGAGTATGTGGTGTAAATAATGATATCTGAGCTGATGCTGGCATGCTGTTCCGTGCACTCACACAGCTACAGATCACCACTGTGCAAGATCAACAAAAACTAAGGCTCTTTATGATCTTGAAAATGTTGGTGAAGTTTAGACACTTGGTGACAAATTTGCTAACTAGAGATTTGCAAGAGAGGAATACACACAATTATTTCCTTGTTTGTTCACAAGTACCACTGGAAAAATAAAAAAATGGTTGGCAACTGTTCAGGAGAATGAGAAAGCAGGACATGCTCTCCCATTGCCGTTTTCGGAAGTTTAGAATGTTTCCAACAGAAAACTTATTACTGTGGCACGTGTACTTGGCAGGCCACTGGAAATGTGGCCAACTTGCAACAGACCAACTTGGAACAAGTCAATCATCACATATTCTAGGCCAAAATGAAGAATGTTATTCAGCATTCATTAATTCAGGTGTATGCCTTCCCCATTGACTTCATTTAACAACTACTTTCTGAACATGTAGGAAGTGTCAGTCATGACACTGGGCAATGGAATTGCCTATTATACATACGGAAAGAAAACTGGACTTCAGCGTGGGGAAAATTAACTTCTCATAGCATATCTTGAAATAGTGTTTGGTTACAGCAGAAGGCTAAAATAATGAATACTAGTATGTGTTTGAGTGACGTACCAAACTGTTCGTTGCCAGTCAATGTTCTAAAGGTTTAAAATTAGTAAGTCTACTCAATTAACTCAACATCTCTGTGGAGATGATCCTATTAGAACTCCCTACTGTAGAACTGGGAAACTGGAGCTCAGACAGCCTGGTTACTTGAGTGTGGTCTCACAGAAAGAGGAGGAACAGAATGTAAATCTATGCATTTTGATTTCAAAGACAATATCCTTATCCACTAATATTGTCTCCAAATTTGAATATAACTGTCCTGGAAAGGGACATTCTGCAGCACTTGCAAAACCTAAGACTCACCAGCTGTGCATAGGTATGGAGCTCCAGTAAATGCTAAGTTCTGGGATTATAAAGAATCCAAAGAAGGTCAACATAGCAGATGAATAGACTTCTTCCAAGTTGCAAGACAGCTTAGTATAATAGAAAAATACTGGGATGTGTCAAAAGCCCTGGAATGCAGACTAGTTTTCAAAATCGTCTAGCCAGGCCTGGTTGAGTGAGTCATTGGAGTTGCCACTTCAGTGTCTGTGAAGAGGCTGTAGTATCTATGCTACTCCTCTCATTACACCTTTGTGAGAAGCACATCACATTATCAGGTCATGTCTGCTTGAAAATCTTTCAGTGGCCACAGAAATTTACTCAAAGTTTAAGAGGATGTTTATTTTTGTTGTTATTGTTTTTAATTTTAATTATTGTGTTTTTCTATAATGTATTGGGGTACAGGTGGTATTTGGTTACATGAGAAAGTTCTTTGGTGGAGATTTGTGATATTTTGGGGCATGCCTCACCACAGCAGTATACACTGCACCTTATCTGTAGTTACATAACTAAAAGTAGAACTACCATTTGGCCCAACAATCCCATCGCTGAGTATCTACCCAGAGGAAAGGAACTCATTATTTGATAAAGATACTTGCACACACATGTTTATAGCAGCACAATTCACAACTGCAAAATCGTAGAACCAACCCAAATGCCCGTCAATCAACGAGTGGATAAAGAGGATGCTTCTGTAAGAATGAGGGTGAAAACACAGAAAACAGGGCACTGGTTAGGTGTCATGGTGAGCAAAGGAGCTGGTGTGGTGTCAGATCAAGGGGACACTGGAACCGACAGCTCCAGGGAAGGGGCATCTGGCGGCCTTCTCAGGAGAGGAAGGAGGCCATGGTGTGGCTAGCTCCCTCCTGCAGTGTGCTCCTCATGCTCATCCCTTCTCATGCCTGTCACCAGATGTTTGACTCTCTTTGCATCTCAGAATTGCCAGTAGAATTAATAAAATCTGTGATTAGAGGGAAAACTTGAAAAGACACAGAGTTGTGAATCACAAGAGAACAAAAGATGGAAAGAAGAGGGCTGGCAGAGAACAGGCAATCCAAGTAAAATTTAAGGAAACAAGCAAAACTATAGTGGTGTTATTAAGTGTTTTAAGGAAGCTGATAAACAATCCTTAGTATCCAAGCAAAGAGAGTCCTCTACACTCCAACCTATGCATTGATTTCCAAATTGCCAGTGAAATTTGCAGGTAAAGATAGTTTGATAAAAAATACTTAGAAAATGTCAGGTTCCAATGTCACACAAGTCCCTGGGAGAATGGGAGGAGAAGTCTCATTCCACACTGCTGTCCTCTGCAATACCAAATACAGGCTGAGGGAATAATATTTACTATACGATTTTTTTGGGGAAAAAGGCTTTCTGAAAGAATTTTGGTCTAGCTAACACAATTTTTCACTTGTAGACACAAACGAATTCAGTCACATTTTTTGATAGTATAACTCATAGGGCTGAGAGATTAATTAAAATGAAGAATTCAAGGCTGGGAAATTTGTAACAAAAAATAACGAGCAGAATTCCCTTTTAGTCTATGAGAAGAAACACCCAACGACCCATCCTAGAAATCCTCAACTGCAGGCTTACAACCCCATTCTTAAAGGAGATTTAAAGAAATGTGAAGAGTTCGGGGCCTCCTTCCACAGTTAATAGCTTCAACAAGTCAAATCTTCATGAATTATTAAACCTCATCAATAAATAATCATATAAATCATGTAGGTGAACTTAAGAAACAACTCTAGAAAATTATCTCCCTCAAGAAGATTTATCATCAGATTCAAGTGTTTAGAAAATGTGATTATAACTATAAAACAATATGACTATAGATTATAACTACAAAACAATATTAACTATTTCTAGAAAAAAAAGAATGGAAATATACCAAAATGTTGTATGGTTATTAGCGAACTATGGACCAATGATTACTTATTTTTTAATCTTTTTGTAGTTTTAATTTTCCTTCATAAATATGTTTCTTCAAATAAGAGAAAATTATATAAGAGAGAATTATTTCATGCAGCCAAAAGCTGACGCAAATTCCTCTGGAGCTTAAATGCAAACCTGCGTACCAACATCATATAAGAAACAACCATTTAATTGTAAATATTCCAGATGCCATTGTATTTAGAAATAGACGGAGACACACAAAAATCTGCTTTTAAAATTCTGACACATAGAAACAATATTGCTTTTGTAAAATCTCATTGGTAGACTCAACAAAGAATCAGAAAAATGACTAAAATGATCAATGATTGCCATAAAGTAAAATGCAGTATCTATGTGAAAGTAAATTAGAATGCAACAATACAGCTTTTCAAAATAACTCAGAATTGGGAGTTAATGTAGGGTATCAAAAATGAAAGGAAGAAACAAATAAAACAAATGAGAAACAACTAATCATGCCCCAAAGAATAATTTAAGTAAGTAGTTGGTGTGGTTTTCAAAGTCCTTGAGGAATGTGGAGAAGAACAGTTCATTACATGCTCTGTTTGTTAGAATTAATTACTAGATGGAACTAGACACCATGCAAACTTTCTATAAATCAAACTAATAAATATTATTCACATCGCCAGTCATACTATAACAAGACAGTCCTATTTACAGTGAGTCCGTAAGACACTTATCCTGAGAGCTGTTGAATCTCCTCATATTGTCCCTTTTATTTGGTTTCAACACAACAATGTTATGTAGCACTTTTAAACTGAAATATAAATGATCTGTTTTTAAACAATTTGCAAGCTAACTTCTGTTTCTATCGCAACATTTTAAAAATCCTCTTAAAACCAGAGTTAAGGAATTTGACTTTTGTGCCTCACTGTCCCCTGTGCAAATATTTGGGTACTGCACAACTTAAAAAGAAAAACATACCTATTTAATAAGCTAAAAATTCCTTAATCCTGAACACGTGATTAATTATCACTGAAGGGCAAAATTACCAACACTTTTTCTTTCCCTGCATATAAACATTTTGTCCTGTTCATATTTTTCTTTCTGAAAATACCTGAGTCTTCAAATTCAAAAACAGCTTCTACTGTTAGCTCCAACCCCAAATAAAAATTTATCTGCAGAAAAAGAAGTCAATCTTGAAAGGGTTTCTATGGATTATGCATATCAATTCACTAGTCTGGTAATTGCATGCTGGTTCATGTAAAAGATGAAGTTTCTTGATCATCTGAGAGGAAACACAGGCTCACAATTGAGACTACATTCAAACTCCAGCCAGCTTGTCTAGTATACAGCACAGTGTCAGAAAGCTCATTTTGACCTTCCCCGCCATGAGGACCAATGAGTACCTTGGTAGAGACTACCTTCAAATCAGAAAGGGATGAGGCAATGTGCCACTCAGCTATCTGTAGCACATGCATACGAAAGCTTATCAAGCAGCATGCAGGCCATGGCTGCTTCATTAATTTAATGAATAAAGTGGTGCACGCTATACAATGGGGTTGTGTTTTCTGTGATATGTGTAAAGATAGAAAGTTGGCTGTATGGAACACTTGCATCATTTAATAATAAATTAACTGCTACATTACTGTTACCTCTTCTTACCATGGTATCAACCATCCCATCAACCTCCCACTAAAATAGCAATTATTTTACTCAATTAATACATTTATAGTGGTTTTCTACAGTAGTTTACTTTTATAAACTCAACGCTAATATAATTTCGCTGAAAGTCAGGCACACTTTTTTAAAACTTCTTTATCTGTGTGCATATATATGTGTGTGTGTGTATATACCTATATATATATATATATATACACGTATAGTTGTGAAACTTGCTCCACAGTAATAATAGTAAAATTCTATCATTTATGCTTCTTAAACATACTTACAGGCACAGAGAAATAATTTATATGAGAATTACTGTTAAGAAACCAGAACCGAGAAGAAGAGAATTTCACTTAAATTATAATTTTTAAAAGTACTTCATAACTATATGTAGATAAGTTGATTATAGGTTGGCCAGAGAGGAAGCACCATACCAAACTTGAAGTTTCAACCTCCTCTATTCCAAAATGTTGAAGAACTGGCTTTGATATCAGTGACATAAACTGCAGAAGAATATTTTGACTAATAATTATGATCCTCAAAAATAAACACTTCAACCATAAAAAGTATATCATCACATACAGCTAAAAAAGCATATCTTAAAAATAAAACAATCTTAAAATATCAAGTTACTATTGCTAGACTGTAGTCAACAAAATAAAATGTTTATTATCTTGTCAATTTTATATCATGTTTTAGCTTGGTTGTCAAATCCCATCATTTCTAGAAGTGCGTACATTTAACCTTTAAAACTCACAGACAACACCATTTACTGCTTGCTCATTCACTGGCTGTTTCCTGGTTCACCTGCATCTCCGGGTCCTCTTTTGTTTGTTTATTTGTTTCTTTAAGTCTGTTTTTCTACCTTCTGCTTGTTGCATGGCTGCCCACCTTTTTTTGTGTGTATATCCTACAATGACACTTGCTTATCACCAGCCAGTCTCCAAACCCCATCACCACATCTGTAGAGGAAATCTCCACTAGGAAACATCAACACCTCAAATACAA
This sequence comes from Homo sapiens, assembly GCF_000001405.40. NCBI lineage: Eukaryota > Metazoa > Chordata > Mammalia > Primates > Hominidae > Homo > Homo sapiens. The sequence goes on from NC_000008.11 coordinate 3,520,840, forward strand.
CCTCTCCCAGCCTGAACCCCACTTAGGCTTTGTCACCCTTGTGTCTAGCACTGGAACCTCCTGGTCACTGAGCTTCAACATTTGGGATGATTGTTGGTTCCTCCTTTGCTCCCCTTTGTGCTCCGTGGAAAACCATGTGCCCATCAAAGTCAAAGCCCTCTCTGGAGCATCCATTCCTCATGTTCTTCACCTGTCACCCCTAGAACTTTATGCCTCCAGTCACACACAACCTCTAATTTTACTGTCATTATCTCCTAAAAGTCTTCCCACTTTCTACCAGTCACCATTCCAGTCCATCCTACACACTGAAAATGAATGTATTTATTAAAACAGGTTAACTCTATTTTTTTCACACCCACCACCCTTGCTTAAACACCTTCCCTGGTTTCTCACTGTTGCTGATTTCCCCAGGGATTCGTCCAATCTGCTTCCTCCCTGTGCTCAGAGCCAAGTTAATGACTTACTCTCTCTCAAATTCACATGTCTTTTCACCTCTGTTTCTTTGCTGTTGGCCCTTCTCCCATGATGTCAGCCCTGTTGTCTTCCCAGCAACAATTCAGTGCCACCATTTCCATGAAGTCCTCCTTGAGCAAGCTAGGAAGCTCACTGGCCTTGAACTTCATGGCCCATAGCATTGTTCCTTGCTGTGGTCATGCCGGTCCCTGTATTACAATGATCTGCCTGAGTATCTTATCTCATCAGTAAACATAAGTTACTCCCAAGTTGGATCTATTACTGACCATCATTGCTCCTTCTTGGTGTTTAGCTAAATCCCTTGTACACGGAGCAAAGTACATTTACAGGAGGATTAAACAGTAAATGTTATAACTGGAAGTGATGTTAAAGGTCATCAACCATGACCAGAATTTTCTTAATGAGAACAGTATGCCTCAAAGATGTTAAGTAAATTCTCATTTATTGTATTCCCAGAACAAAATGCATTGAATGACAAAGAATGGATTCTCTGTATACACACCTTCTTAGCTTTAAGAAATGTATATTATCATACTATCTATTCTAATACCGCGGAACAGTTTGATGCCAAATTTTGTGTTGTCAATAAAAGCTGAGGCAAACCCAATTAAATCCATATTCATCACATATTGGAAAGTACAAAAATGCAATTAACAAAACTTTCATTTCCACACAGTGTAAACAAGTATTTGCATTATCTTTCATCTCAATTACATTAGAGTATTGCCTGTGTGAATAATTTTTCTCCTTATAGATATTTGGGATGTTTATCTAAATTGCATTAACTTTTTTTAACCCTCAATTCTGTATTCTTTAAACTACCACTCTGACTGCAAAGTCAAATTATTCGAAGTGTTCAGCAATGTGAAAAATCGTTATATGATTAAATTTTTTATTATTTTATCTTACATAAAATATTGCATATGATATTACTTTGAAAACAATAATTTCCATTAAGCAACAGCTTTTTATTGGCAACTACGAAGTAAGAAAAAAGAGGAGAGGAAATTGTAAAGGATATCTTTTGACTTAACATTTAAAGGAATGTATGTCAGGAACAAGTATAAAAATATATATTGTTTCCATTTCGTGTGGGGGTTTTGTATCTACCAGCAGCTTCGATTTCTCCAGGCAAAGAGACAGCTGCATTTACTTTTAGATGGCATAACAATTTACAAAATATTTTGTGAGTTTTGTTTACTGGAACATTGGTAGCCCCCTGAGTTATAAGTACTTTATGACTGAGAATAGAGAAAGAAATGGGAACACTACTCATGTTTCAGGCAGCCCACACTCCAAGAAGGGTAGATGATCACATGGCAGTACTTTATTGCAGACTTTGTGACATGTGAGTTTCAGTGAGGAGTAGATCAGTCGTCCCGGTACATTCACACCGATACTGATTCTGCACCTTAATATGTGGCATTCGGGAACTACAAAGTGCTCTACCACAATGCCCAGGGAACCCAACACATTTTTCATGGTTACATATTAAATTACGTATTTTATTTGACATATAATTTGTTAGATATATATAATTATATATTTAATGTAAATTATATTAAATATTACCTTTCAATATATTTATATATTATCATGTATAAAATATCAATATATTTATATATTGACAAATATTTAAACCTGTCTACTCATTTATCTATTTTATATACATACAAAATGGAGATACATATATACACACACCCACACACACACACACACACACACACTACTCTTAAAAATAAGAGTTAAAAATTGAATTCAGGTCTCTAACTCCACATCCAATATTATAGTTACATCTGCACATTTTTCCTAAACACGTAGAAAATTGTCCTCCTTGGCATTCCTCAAAGTAGATGCTGGGCTACTTGGAATCAAATACAACTGTGTCCATAATTATCCCGCATGCTATGGATCATAGTAAGACCTAAAGCATCTACCATATAGGATTTAAAATAAAGCCTACATAAGAATAACCTATTTCTGTAATTATTTTTGCTTTACTAAATTATTTTGTTCTATTGTGGCAACACAGTGTCATTCTGAGATTACGTGAGATGGAACTTTGAGGGACAAAGAAAGCTCTCAATGAGAGATCAAAGCGTTTGCAACCTAGATGCAGAAACTGAGCCCTAGAGAGAATAAGGTGCCTAAAGTCCAATTCGCCCACCTGTGGATGGCTGGCAGCAGAAAGGTGATCTGACGTGAAAATATGCACACACACACGCACACCCAGACACATGTGCACACAGATGCACACACACATGTACACACAGACATATGCACACATGTGCATGTACACACACACATGCATGCACACCGAGACACGTGCACACACAGGCACAGTTACACATGCACACACACGTACACCCAGAGAGACATATGCACACATGTGCATGCACACACATATGCATGCACACTCAGAGACACATGCATACACATGCACACACACATGCACACACATGCACACCCAGAGACATATGCACACATGTGCACATACACACACGCACATATGCATGCACACCCAGAGACACATGTGCATGCGCATGCACACACTTACACATGCACACACATGCACAGAGACATATGCACACATGTACACGCACACACACATATGCATGCACACTCAGACACGTGCATACACATGCACACTTACACATGCACACACACATGCACACCCAGAGACACATATGCACACATGTGCACGTGCACACACACACACATGCACACCCAGAGACACGTGCACACACATGCACACACTTACACATGCACACACGCATGCACACCCAGAGAGACATATGGACATATGTGCACATACATACACACACACGCACATATGCATGCACAGCCAGAGACGTGCACACACATGCACATACTCACATATGCACACACATGCAACCCAGACAATATGCACACACATACACACATACACACCCAGAGACATACACACAAGCACACACACACGCACATATACATGCACACACACGTACACTCAGAGACATATGCACACATAAACATGCACACACACATGCACACCCAGAAAGACAGGCGCACACAAGTGCACACATGCACATACACACACATGCACACCCAGACATATGCACACACAACCAGACACATCTGCATCTGCACGCACACATGCACATATGCATGCACACCCAGAAAGACATGTGCACACACAAGTACACACATGCACAGATGCACACATGCAAAGACATACGCACACACAAGCACACACATGCACACACACATGCATACCCAGACACTTATGCACACACAAGGACACACATCCACACACATGCACATACACACATGCACACCCAGAGAGACATGTGCACACACACAGACCCATGCAAAAACACATGTACACACATGCACCAAAGAGACGTGCACACACAAGCACATACATGCACACACACACATGCACACCGAGACATGTGCACACACACATGCACATATGCAAGTGCACCGAGAGACATGCACACAGAAGTACACACATGCACAGACACACATGCACACACAGAGCCTTTACAACTTCCTTTCTATTTTAACATCACTGTATTTAAGAACAAATTTTTGGTGGAGTTAAAAATAGTAATAAACTTGGTATCATGAAATGTAAAAAAAAAATGTTTCTAAAAAGCACACTGTACACTCATTAGGCACCCCAGGAAAAATGATAATGTATGTATCATCAAGTTGGCATTTATTTTCTGCCCCAATCCCTTGGTCCAACGCCGAATAAACTCTATCTGAAAAGCCAACTAAAGTGAATCTCTTATTTTTCAAGCTCAAAGTTACACACATAGAAGGCTCAAGCCACATACAGTGAGTCTTGAGTCTCAGTAGGGTCTTCTTGTCTGTGTTCTGTGTGAGACTCAGCCGTCAGAAATCATTCAGGATTTGACCTTCCTTAGGGGAGATAGCATCCCTGGAACTGAGGGTCCTTAAAAGCACTCAGGAACTTTCAAAGCAACAGACCAGGTTAAAAAGGAATTAGCATTTCCAGTGAGAAGGGCAGCATTTCAAAAGCACTCTGGGAGGCAGGATAAGGATCAAAATTCTAAGGTGGATTTAATTTCAAGGTAATCATAGTAATATCCCAGGTACTGAGTTCACAAAAATTTACAAGCCAAGCCATTTTATAACTGACAGCAGGACATGAAGAGCTATCCTCCGTGATAAGAAACGCAGTACCCTGACACTGATTTTACTCTGAAAATATTGGTGAAAGCGATTGCCTCTCTTGACAGTTCAGGGAACAAGCAGAGGGATAAGTCTGTCACTAGGAGGGCATCGTATCTTCAAAACCTCTTGCCTGACATTCTATCAATCTCATCATGATAGCAATCAATGGAATTAAATGCTGCTCTATGTACCCAGCTTCCTATGAACCACTCAGATTTTAACACCTAGTTGTCGCAATGTACTTTCAAAGGAAATGAATGGGAACATCACGTTGTAAGAATTTCTAATAGAAACTTGGTTGCTTACCACTAAGTTGACACACGGAAAAAATCAATAGCCCCCCAGGTCTCCAGAACCCCCATTAGAAAATGTTATTAACTTGATCTGTATAAGACAGCCAACTGGGCACCTACCACACACAAATCGTATTACATGCATTGTTCTTAAGCCTTACAACAATTCTTCAGCTCTGGTAAAATCAGCACCTCTCTAGGACAAGCAAACATGGGATGGAGCTTAAATAATTTACCCAAATTAAACAATTAATAGCCTGGGTATATGTAGCTTCAAAGAACCATCAACATGCTGAATTGTCAATTCAGCTTTAAAAACAGTCTACATTCTGTTTAGAAATTGAAAGTGGCAAGTTTCAATTAATTCAGAAATGTGGCATATATCATATTTCTGACATTTTCTCATCAATCATAAGACTACATCGTTTTTCCTTCCTGAACCTTCTATAGAATATAAATTGTCTTAAAATATAAAGCTACCAAAAGAAAAGAAAAGCAAATAGATATAGGCAATGTTTAAAATATATTTTTTTTTTGTGGAAATTGGACACTCCAAATCCCTTTGGTGTGAGTTGAGAGTAATAACGTCTTCTTCAATCCTAAATATATTTAAATTTTTAAGTGGCCTAAAGTTAGTATGCAGTTTAGACACAGCAGATATATTACCAGAAGCTGGCTATTCTGTAGAATTTGCTCTCTGGACCAAGCATCCTACATAAAACACTCAAAAGCAAGCTCCCAGGAATGGGAACGGCCCCAGAGTGTCACTAATGCATCATTGCCTGTGTTTATTCTAGGGCAATGTGTGATCCTACAAGTATTAGTAAATAATTTTTCCAAGGTACCTTCCCGATCGATATTTTACACTATTTGCCCGGATGCAAAATAAAAGATCTGGCTTCAAAGCCAAAATTGTCACTTCCTAGCTGTATCCCCTTCAATAAGTTACTTACCCTCATTCAGTTTCCCTTCCTGTAAAACACACTTCCTAGTATTTGCAGCAGACGACGCTGGTTATGTATGTAACAACCTGTATTCTCCTTTGCTTTCTTATTTACCCAATCATCATTTTCTTTGGAGAGGTAAAGTGCTAGTAATTCACATTCCTAATATTCCTTTCATCTAATGGTGTCCAGGGGATAAGATCTTTGTCAATGAGTCTATGTTGTTGGGTGCAGCCCTCTGGAGGGTGGGGCTATATCCTTTTCTGGTTGCCTCTCCCTACTCAGAATGTGGCTGGGCTGCAGTTGTCGTATGCATGCCGGGTCAGTGCCACGCTGCAAAGAAAGCCCAGAAAATGCCAGAAGGAGCCCAGAACCCAGAAGAAGACAACATATGAGCCCTCGGATGTCTCTCTCCACGTTTTTATAACACAAAAAAATAAAATTTTAATATAAAACACTATTATTTTTATTTTCCACTACTCAGAACCAAATGTTAATTGGCTCCTAATTGGTACAGGGCGCTGATAGGGAATTATAATGGGAGAAATCAGCTAATCTGACATCATATTCATTTCTTATTTTTAAAGGCACTCGTGCCCTTTCAAAAAGCCATTCTAAAAGGTTACATAGTGTATGATTTCGTTTGTATAACATTCTTGAAATGACAAAATTATAGGGATGGGAACTAGATTAGAGGTTGCTAAAGATTACAGTCTGTGTGGGCGAGGGTGGGATGTCACTATGAAAAGGTTTCCCAGGGGAGGTCTGCCTGGTGAGGGAGCTGGGTGGTATCTCGATTGTGGCCATGGTCACAAGAATTGATACCTGTGATAAAATCGCACAGAACTCTATACACACACACACACACGGGCATCTAAGAGTCCATGAATCTGGTGAAATCTCAAACCAGGTCTGCAGCTCATCCCCTTGCCAATTTGCTGGCTCTGCTTTTGGCTTAGAGCAATGTGACCCTTACCACTGGTGGGAGGGGTGGGTGAAACGAAGACAGGACTTCTCTGTACTGTTTTATTCAACCCTTTGGATCTGTAAGTATTTCAAAATAAAGTTACAAAACATCCTGTTTAATAACAGTAGATGTGCATCTCTTAACAGAGAGATACATTTAGAAACAGGTTTCTCAGCCTCAGCACCACGGACATTACAGGCTGGCTAAGTCTTGGTTGTAGGGCAGTTCTGTGCAGGTCAGTTTATCTGGCAGATTCTGTGGCCTCCGCCCACCACACGCCAGTCGTACTTCTCCCTGGGTTTCTGACAACCAAAACTGTCTCCAGCCATTGCCATTTGTCCCCTGGGTGGCAAAATCCAAACCACCCCCATATAAGAACCACTGATACAGGGGGAAATGAGGAATACTGGAAAGTGATTCTTTATTTTACAAAGGGAGCTGACATAGAATTATTTTGCATGGTTAACTCCCCTGGTAGAATCAAAGTTTGATTTTGTTGCACAAATATTAAGTACTGCATTTTGAATTATGTGTTGTGGAAAGGGATAGACACATCTCAAATCACCAGGTTCTTGTATGCCACTGAGGTGTTTTGCTAATAGCTCAGTGCCAAAATTCTTCCCCTCTCTATTTATACCAAAGGAAAGGTGACAGGCACAAGAGAATACAAATATCTAAGAGCACTTGTCTTAGCACTCGTGGGGGAAGGAGGATGGCTCTGTATGCAAGTCTAGCCATGCCTGCTTCTATGCCTTGCTTCAGCTTCCAAACCTTGAGGAAGAAGACATTTCCTTAGGAACCCTGTGGGCTCTTCTTCCTGATAATCACATCTCATTTCCATAAAATTAATCAAACAAAGTGTTTTGGTTCAGTAAACTGTATACAACACACAATTTGAATTTCAAAATACAAATTTATATTAACTGACTAATTAAATGTCTTGAAATTCTTCTTGATTTCTGGGACATGGTGGCTGCACCTCACACAAAAATGTCAGTGCATATGGAAAAGCTTGAGGGATTGGAATAGTGAATGTTCCAATTGCTGAGACTATTAATTTCCTGCAAAACTGAAGGTTGACAGACAGAAAACACCTGGATAAAATTATTACTGGAAATAGTTCTCCATTTAAACATAAGAATGCCAACTAAATGAGTTTTAATACTCTGTATGTATTATAACTGTGCATTTCATTTGCATTTATCTGCAAAAATATGATAAATAATATAATCCTTAGATAATTACATGCCAGTGAAAAGTATGACAGTTGATATACATTTATACTGACATATTTTCAGAAGCCCAAAATATTATCAATCTCAACAGAGCTTTCGAACAAGGCTCACTTTAGTACAAGCTGTAACACAGACACTTTCAACAGAATATACCGACTTCTTTGAAAAGTGAACTAATCATTATTTCATTAAAATATCCAATTGTGTAGTAAAGACAATACATACGCTACTGATTTAGGTCCTACTGTTTGAATCAGACTACCAAAGTCAAGAGTTGTGTTATTAAAATGCAAAATGCCAGTAGCTCATATTTCAATGCAAGTTCTTTTCCATGATTTTTTTGCATTAATTTGAAGAATGCAAAATAAGCAGCTTTGAAGTTGCACATGGCCAACACACTTAAGTGTACTAAATCAATTCAAGAAAGAGTAACTCCCTCTTAAAATAATTGACTATATTGAAGGAGATGGGGGGTTGATACATGAGGAATTCAGCAGGAATTTTTGTAAGACAGAATCATAAATTTGGGTTAAAGGAAGAAATTGGGATTATGTGACTCTGGCTCTAATCATATAGAGGAGAAATTTTAATGCCAGATTATTTAACTACCTTTTCCAAGACCACACAATGGAAGAGTAGAATCACAGGAATGCGATGCACATCTTCTGACGCCTAGTTCGTGATTTGTCAAAAGTATAGTGTTTGCTTTGAGGAAGAGTATCAGCTTCTCAGAAGAGCTTACTAAGCAACTCATATGTACAAATACATCTTGGGAGATATATCTGTTGTTTTACTCACAGGAAACGGAATTTAGCCATGCAAAATGCATCAACATACTTCGTTTCCTCTTCTGAGCAATCCCTCCTGGAATTTTCCCACTCTCAGTGATCTGTAAGCCTACATTTTCTTGGACAATAAATTAATTATAGCAAGAGAGAAGCAGGGCAAGCTGCTTATGGAAAGCCGAGGCCTTTCTAGTCATAGAATCAACATTTGTAAATATATACACAATAAATTTGCCCACGAAATGATGTGCCATATGTCATTTTTGTTTCCCCATGACAATTTAATTTTATCAGTGATAGAAGAATGAGCCGTGAGTATACATGCTAAATGCTCAGTCTATGACCATTTTCATAATCCATGACACTAAAGGTTTCAATTTTATTGATCTTTTCAAAAAGCAACTTGGTTTAAGTTCATTTTCTCTGTTGTTTTCTCTATTCATCTCTCCTCCAATCTTTATTAATTCCTTCTTTCTGCAAGCTTCAGATTTAGTTTGCTCTTTTTTTATAGCTCTTTAAAATATATTAGGTTGTTGATTCAATATCTTATATTTTAATGTGATGGTTTACAGCTACAAATGTCCCTCTTGGCCCTGTTTTGGCTGCATCCTGTAAGTTTTGGTATGTTGTAATTTCATTTTCATTTGTCTCAAGGAAGTTTCCAATTTCCCTTGTGATTTTTTCTTCGATCTAATGATTGTTTAGGTGTGTTGTTTAACTTCCACATATTTGTAAATTTCCTAGCTTTCCTTCTGCTATTAAACTAATAAAAGCAAAATGTACAGTGAATCTTTTCGTTTTGTTTTGTTTTTGTTTTGAGGTGGAGTCTTGCTCTGTTCCCCAAGCTGGAATGCAGGGGTGTGAGCTAGGCTCACAGCAACCTCTGCCTTCTGGGTTCAAGTGATTCTCCTGCCTCAGCTTCTCAAGTAGCTAGGATTACAAGTATTACAGGCACCCGCCACCACAGCCAGCTAATTTTTGTATTTTTAGTAGAGACAGTTTCACCATGTTGGCCAGGCTGGTCTCAAATTCCTGACCTCAGGTGATTCTCCTGCCTTGGCCTCCCAAAGTGCTACTATTACAGGCATGAGCCACCATGCCTGCCCTGCTGCAGTGAATCTTGACGCCTCTCCTTTTTCCTATTTTTTTTTTTAAGATGGAGTCTCATTCTGTCATCCAGACTGGAATGCAGTGGTACGATCTCACTGCAACCTCCACCTCCCAGGTTCAAGCGATTCTCCTGCCTCAGCTTCCTGAGTAGCTGGGACTGCAGGCACACACCACCATGCCCAGCTAATTTTTTTTTTTTTGTATTTGTAGTAGAGAAGGGGTTTTGCCATGTTGGCCAGGCTGATCTCAAACTCCTGACCTCAGGTGACCTGCCCACCTAGGCCTCCCAAAGTGCTGGGATTACAGGTGTGAGCCACCACACCTGGCCCATACTACTTTAAGAAAATAAGCATAATTTCTGGAGATTCACCTAATTTAAAACAACCTAAAATAACTTTTCAGGTCCCTCCCATTTCCTCTGGCTTTTATTCACCATGGATATTAATTATTATTATTTGTTGTTGTGTGAGTACTAGTAATCAAAACCTTTAACTAAAATCTTTTTTAGCCCCTATCCGACTTATGCGGCATTTGCTCAGATGTGTTTTCATTATAGAATCTGGAATTATAAAACACAATAGTAACATTATTCTATATGTGATAAACATCACCCCTCAAAAAATCAAATATAAAAGGTGATCCTGTCATTGTGAGATTATTGAAATGCCCCAGGGTAGCATAAAGAAGAAGGCAGTGAGAGGGAGGCAGCCAGAAGTTCTGGGAGCCCTGCCATGCAGTCCAGGTTCCATCTGTGGTCTGGCCCCGTGGGAGGCTGGTCCACTCCAGGTTATGTGTTAGCATAGGTGCAATACAGGAAGTAGAACAAAAACTATTTATGCAGATAATGAGGGCAAAGAGTCCTCAGCAGAACTTCCCTTGTAACACAAAAAAACCCCAAGAAATCACTTCTTTTCTAACAAAGAGCAGCCTGGAAGATCGGGCTGCAAACATAGATAAGCAAGCTAGAAGCTTACACAGGGGGATGCCAGCAGTTGCACAGAGAGAAACGGCTACGTGGGGCCAGGCCGGTCCACCATGGGGCCCCACCTCTCCCCTAATCAGCACATGCACAGTAAGAAAGAAATGAGCAACATGCAGTAGCTTAGGCTGAGGACCCACCTGCAAAATAAAAGACTGGAATGGGGGATCCCACAGATTCATGCCCTATGCAGATGGCACACCTGGTCCTAAACAGTTTTTCATGCCCTGTCTAGATCAGATACTGCCTCATGATTAGCTCGTCTATGAAAGCCCCTACATTCCACTTTGAGATGGCAACATTTTTTTTCTGGGACTCCTCTCTGGAGTAGAAAGGTGTTCGCTTTGTTTCTCCTATGAAATTTCTGCTCTAAACCTCACCCTTAGTATGTCCGTGTCCTTGATTTCCTTGGGTGTGAGACCAAGAACTCTAGGTGTCAAGCCAGACAATGAGGCCACTTCACATGATTCTGCATGGTGTCACTGGCTGGCTCTTCTGGGACATCAGCCAGGGTTTTAAGAATCTCCTGGCTATTGGCACACATTTTCACACCAATCTGTGTGTGTATGAGCGAGTGGTGAGGATGGTGAGCTAGAAGAAAGATGGACTTGTGGCAACTCTCCTCCTCCTTCCTAAAACAGCTGTGTCTGACATTTCCTTGCCTGGTTTTTACCTCTCCTCCATATCCCAACCTTCCCCTCAGATGATCAGGACTTTAGATCACCTTATTTGAGAAATGGACGTAGGTTCAACACAGGATTTGATGAGTGATTGCATTCATGCCGTTTGGTGTTATTGTAGATTTACTACGCCAAAATTTTACATTCTATTACTCTGAAACTGATCTGCAATTATAATTATAAAAAATAATATTCTCATCCTTATTCCAAACAATTTGCTTAAAATAACACTTTCAGTATGTCATATCTATTGATCAATATATAGACAACATAATAATGGTGAAGACTGTAAACTTCTTGACATATAATCTATATCTGATTCACATTTGAAGTCATTAAAGCACACAGCACAATGACCTACAGAAAATATAATTTCACACTGAGATCTATTTTTTAATCAATAGTAAATCATTACTAAATATAAACCATGACATAGCACATATACTTTCAAAGTATTATCATGTAGAGTCTCATACAATCACCTCATTTTATACATTCCCTTCTACTCATAACAAATTAAGTGAATAATGTGTTTTAAGGGCAAAGATGTCTAAAATACTTTGAGATAAACAGCTCGTAATTCATCCAATGTACCTTTCCATCACCATCTTGGCATGAAGGAAAAGCATGAAAGGACTTATTTTTGCAGAGGAAGAAATTTAAAGATCAAATTCTGTGCCAAAAATTGTACACAAAGAAAGAGCACCCTAAAACCAGATGCCTATTTTCTGTATTTCATTATTTTTATTGATAAGGATAGATTACATGACATCTACCTCTTACAAATGTTTAAATGCCCAATATAATATAATTAACTATAAACCGAGATTGTACAGCAGATCTCTAGAACTTATTCATCTTACATAAGAGAACTTTATACTCCTTGAACAGTGACTCCTCATTTCCCCCTCCCTGATAACAGTGGTTTGACTCTGTCAGCGTCTATGAGTTTAACTCCTTTAGATTCCTCATGTAAGTGGAATCATGAAGTATTTGTCCTGTGAGCAGCTTACTTCACTTAGCATCATGTGATTCAAAGACATCTCTCACTACTATGTCTATAAAGCAGGTTCACACACTGCTGTTGAATGAGAATCTCAGGGAAGCCCTTGCTTCCCTGAATCCACTCATCTGCATCTGGAATCTCCCAGAGGCTCTGGGAGGCCCATGAGCTTCACTCCACTAACACTTATTTCACCACACGTGCCTCCACCGTGATGTATCATCCTGGAACTCAGTACTAAGCTCCAAGGTGCTTGAGGCATCTCTTTTACTTTCCTTACTCTTGTAACTATCACAAAACCTGGAAAACATGAAAGTTCACTTTTTTTCTCCCAAGTAGCTGTACAGTTAGAGATCTTAGTCTGTAGGTATCTACAATCGAAATCTTTCAGATGTATCAGCTCGTCATTCACCAAGAATCCCTTTGGTCCACCAATCACATGAACTCTCTAAGGATAAGAGGGCACATGAAACAAAATTTTGTTTTGGCAATATTTATATTTTAAATCTACTTTTGCGGAAGAAGAATATTCTATGAATAAAAGTCATTGCTTGAAGTTACTAGTTTTGACTTCCTTTGAAATGATTGTTTTAGTATCTGAGGCTATGAGAGCCCATATTCCCCGCTCTCACTCATATGCACTGTGAAATAACAAATACCCTTGAAGTAATTCCATCTCTTGGTGTTTCATCACTTACTCACTCCTGCAATGCCACGCCCTTTGCCTAGGTAGTCCAGAAGATCTGCATTCAATTATCTAACTCACTTATTAATCTTTCTTTTGAAAATTTATTAATTTCCTTCATCTTTACCTTGATGTAAGCTCCTTGGAGACCTGTTTTCCACACTCCTCTCAGTTCTCTTTAAATGCCGTGTTCAGGATTGCTTTGTAGACTCAGTTTAATGCCTCTTGATCTTCTCTCCTTTGTTTTGGGCAAAGTGCCTATCAGCATGTGAGGATCACACTTATGACACCCTCTCTCATGCTCAGCGATAAGTAGATATTTTTGGCTTTCTCAATTACAAAAAAAAAAAAAAAAAGAAAAACTTTTCAAAAATTAGTGTACAATCATTTACTTTCAGTGACTGATCTAAAAGTTGTGTTTCCTAAGGGCTTTTCTGCTAGATGTCAGTTGGTATCTTGGGAATGCCATTTCCATAGCCAAACAATTTTAGAAAACCATTGTGTACATCCTTTTTCATTCTTCTAGTCCCAGAGCCTTTAAGCAACAACTGCATAAGCATCCAGGTTGAGCATATGGCATCTTAAAGCTAAGATTACTTTATTTCCTTGTTACAAATTTCTCACACAACATTTTCTTTGGGTCACATTTTGGGAAACGTTGCTCTTTTGCCTAGATGTATTCATCAACCATCTGGGAGCTACTTGGTACAAATGGTTTAGTCCAGAATTCAAGTAAAAGATAGCCAGGGTTACTGTAAGACATGTATTTACTTATTTATTTATTTATTGACAGCATCTGGCTTTGTCGCCCAGGCTGGAGTGCAGTGGTGCAATCAGAACTCACCGTAGCATTCAACTCCTGGGCTTAAGCCAGTCTCCTGCCTCAGCCTACTGAGTAGTTGGGACTACAGGGTGTACCAACATAGTCAGCTAATATTTTTTTTTTTTAATTTATATAGAGACAGGGTCTCACCATGGTGCCCATGCTGGTCTCAAACTCCTGGCCTGAAATGATCCTTCTGTTTCAGCCTCCCAAGCTCTAGGATTACAGGCATGAGCCACCGCACCCAGCCACTGTGGGAAGCTAATGACAGACGACACTGAAATAGTTATTCAAGCTTTTGGCCGTACTTTCTATCTTTCTATATACCATGCTGAGTCACTATAGGAAGAACCTGAGTCCAGAGGACAGAAATGGAAATAAAAGTGTGAACCCTGACACCTGCAGCCTGACCTCAAGGGGTCTTCCCTCCGGTTCCATCCACATTGCTGCAAAAGCCTCCATGTTCTCACTTATAAGTGGGAGCTAAATATGTATGCACATGGACATAGAGTGTGACCTGTAAGACCACGGAGACTTGGAAGGGGGCTGGTGGGTAGGAAGAAGAAGGATGAGAAATTACTTAATGAGAAATAACTTAATGGGTATAATGTACCTTATTCAAGTAACAGATACCCTAAAAGCTCTGTCTTAACCACTACAAAATCTATGCATGTAACAAAATTGCACTTGTACCCCTCATTGCTTTTTTGTTAATCCAAGTAAACTTGATTTTAACCTTCAATTATGTAGTGCTTGGCAGTTCACACCTTCCCACATGCTTTGAAAATTCCCAAGGGCTGGATTCCTTGCAGTTTCCTCTCCCACCAGTTTTTGTATATGAAGTGTGGTATTTGGCCCTGTTGTAGGTAGAACTCTAGGCTGGCCACTAAGCTTCCCCCTCCTGGTGGATGCTGCTTCAAGGCTAGCAGGAGAAGCCCCCACCAGTCGGTTACAGTTATATGACAGAGGGCCATCCAGGGAGGGACTCTCCCAGCAACTTGAAACAAAAAGTGACCTCCTCAAGCCAGCGACCACGCTGTCATAGTCACAGGTCCTGGCCATACACAAGTAGAGATGTCCCCAAGTAGCTGATAAATATTATCATTGTTTTTATGATACCAAGCTGTGATATCCGGATCATCAACTGTCATTACATAGGAGAGCACGGGGCTTTCAGCAGACGTATCCAGAGCACTGTAGGTTTGCTTTTCAAGACTCGAAGCATCAATATTAATTTATAAATGAGCTGAGTTAATAAGTTTGTGTGTATGACAGCAACTTGTACTTAAACTAATTATTTTACAACATATTTAAAATGGCAGCCTGTGGCTTCAATTAATGTTAACACTTAAGTGAGGGTGTCAGAATTCCATGACCATTGATTCTACTACGTGCAACTGTAGAGGAAGAATGGGCTTAGAGTCAGAAAGCAGGTTCACCAATGGGCTGAGTGAAGTTGGGCCAGGTTTCCTCTTTGATTAATGGGGATTATGTTTTTTCCTCTCCAGGGTATCTTCGAGGATTGGCCTCCATGAGAAGGATGAGCCTGGTTCCTGGTAGAAATTCAGTACTTGGTAGTCACTGTCTCCATCATGAATAGTGTGAACAGAAACGGTAATTCAGAAGTGTGAGCTGTCACTACCATCTAGTGGCAGTGGTCAGAAGTGTAGGCACAGAGCAATAGGATCTGTGCCCTCAGAGCAGCCTCCCTCCTCCGGTCTTGCAGGTGGCAGGAGCCCCAATACCCAAAAGTGTCCATTGTGTGGAAGGGACTAAGTCATCTCTTCAGCACCGGGAATGCTGTTAGGTTTGTGCCATCCTTGGGTGTTCGGTCCCACGGTCCGTGTTCTGTGGCTCAGATAAGAATCCCAGGTAGAGAAAATTAAATCTAGTTTAGAAGGATTTATTGTACGATTGCCCTAGTCGTCAGTAGAGTCAGTATTTACTGGGAGCTTTCACATGCAACATTGTGCAACAATAGGTCAAACTCTTTTTTTCTTTTCTTTCTTTTCTTTTTTTTGAGATGGAGTCTTTCTCTGTTGCCGGGCTGGAGTGCAGTGGCACTATCTCAGCTCACTGCCACCTCCGCCTCCTGGGTTCCAGCAATTCCCCTGCCTCAGCCTCCCAAGTAGCTGGGACTACAGGTGCCCGCCACCACGCCCAGCTAATTTGTTGTATTTTAAGAGACAGGTTTCACCATGTTGGCCAAGATAGTCAGTCTCGATCTCCTGACCTTGTGATCCACCTGCCTTGGCCTCCCAAAGTGCTGGGATTACAGGCATGAGCCATCATGCCCGGCCCGCAAACTCTTGCTTATATGACTCATATTCCTATCACCTGTATGAGTTTTTATTGTTGTTTAGTGTACTTTTTTTATACATCATAAGTTATCATGCAACAGACACAAATACTACACCTGTTGCATTCCAAAAATTGATATGTTAGCTAATTGTAACATAATAAAATATGTAAAGTGATTTCCTCAGGAATTTAAGACATTGGTTCATAAATGTTTGGACAAACCCCCTAAAAGAATCCTTCTTTTAAACATTAATATTTGCATGTTTGTTTTAGATAGCTCTATTATTCTGATAATGTAATGATGGAAATTGTGTTTCCTTTAATGAAATTTATGTAGCATCATTTATTTCAGGCAAATTACATATATTCATTTACAATACTTTGTATTTGCAAAAATCATATATCACTTCATACATTATCAAGAATCAAAAGTTTTTAACTATTTTATTTAGGACAGTAAAACAAGAACACTTCACCAATTAAAGAGTCTCATCCATAGCACTTGGCACAAACTTGGTCAAATGTTACAGACACAATAAATACTTCTAAATTAATTCAGGAGCCTCTTCTCCCATATTTCATTGTTGATGTTCCTTTTACTTCTCTTGGATAGAGAATAATGAGTGTTTCTCCTATTAAAGTTGTTTATTCACTCAGGGTATCGTTTATTCTTCTATTTATCATATCCTCATTAGAGAAAGGGCTTTCCTACAAGACTGTGGTAAACCCTTTTATGCTAGATGTGCAGAACCTGATGGTCAATGACCCGATCCTATGCACAGAGTTTTTAAAAGAGTGTTTCAAGTTTATAAACCAAACGATTGCACATGGACTTCTAGATTTACATCTTTACTTGAAAAATTACATGACGGATCAACTACACCTTGCATTTCATTCCCACTAGCACCATCAGCTGGAACTGAGTAGCAATGGCACACCTGAGATGCCTCACCTGAGATGCTTCACCTTCAGTGGTGCACCTGATATGCTTCACCTGAGATGGTACACGTGCGATGCCTCATCTGAGATTATGCAACTGACATGCTTCACCTGGGATGATGCACCTGGGATTCCACACCTGGGCTGGTGCACCTGAGATGCCTCACCTAAAATGGTGCACTTGAGATGCCTCACCTGAGATGATGCACCTGAGATGCCTCACCTAAGATGATACACCTGAGATGCCTCACCTGCGATGCCTCACCTGAGATGCCCCACCTGCGATGCCTCGCCTGCGATGCCGCACTTGAGCTGGCTAACCTGAGTTGCCTCCCCTGTGATTGTGTGCCCACAAAAGTGAGCCCCATTCCCCACCACTCAACAAAGGTATAGAGCTTTCCTCTTTTTGTTGCCAGACTGGCCTTTTCTTCCTTAGCAACGTGGCATGGCCTGCCATCTTTGATTGCCCCTTTTCCGTCACGTGCACTTGCGATTCATCAGCAGTCACACAGCTCTACATGTATCCTACTCGGGAAGCCACACTTCTCCACTTGCACCAAGAGCCTGGTGGAAGGCAATGTCTCCTCTCACCTGGAGTGCTGCTGCGGTCTTCCTAAGTGTTCCTAGTTGTTCTCTGCTCCCACTCTTGCTTCACCTACACACCATGCTGCACACAGCCGCCAGAGCAACGTTTGTGAGACCCCAATGTCATCAAAGCATCTCCCTTCTAGAAATCCTGCAGCAGCATCTCATTGAAGTGAAAATAAAATCCAAACACATTAGGACAGCCTGAAACACCCAGAGATGGCCTCTCCTCCATCACTGAGCCACGTCTCTTACAGTCTTGCCCCAGTCCCTTTCCCTGCACCCGCGGATAGCAGGGACCGCTTGTCTTTCCCTTCCACATACCAAGATGTTCTGGCCGCAGGGCTCTTGCATTTGCTGTAATTTAGGTCTGGAAGGATGTTCGCAAGGCTGCCTCATGTGTATCATTAATCCTTCAGTCACTCTCTCCTGGGCGGATTTAGATTAAATGGTTGTCTTCCCCCTACTGCCTACCTCCCACCCCCAAGCCAATCCCAGCTCTTTCTCTACTCCTGGTTTTGCCTTCTGGGCAACACCTTTACTATAAGAAGTATATACATATTATTTGTTTCCAGGCTAATGCCTTCACCCATTAGATTATACATCATGATGACAGTTGGGTTTATGTGTGTTCTAATCTGCATCTCCAGAGCCTAAAACACAGCTACACATGTGCATTATATTATGAAGCCCACAAAGGTTCTCATTTTAAACGTGCAAGGAAAAGCGTGATTCAGAAGTTGTAACACTTCGCCAAGAATTGAAGCGAAACACAGCTCTGCCCCTCTAAATCCCAGCAAGGCTCCCTCCCCCATCCCTCACTGTTGGGTGACCTTGTCACCCACTAAGAACCAAATCAAGTGTGGGATAACAGTGTTTAAAATTAAAAACATATCACACATTGAAAACAAGAATCTCTAGCCCTTTCTTTATGATAAAAAAAAAAAAAAACACAAGAAAGAAAATGCCTACAAAAAAGGAAAGAAAACTCTAGACGTGTTAAGGTGCCGTGGAAAATCTGGTGGATAATTTTGTTCGACCAAACGAACTTAGAAAACGGCTTCCCTTTGAATTTAGACACAATTGCTTCATGGATAGACCATAACTTCTCTGTTTCCCATAAATTGTAGCTAGTTTGAGAAACAGTCTTCTAAAGCCTGCTTATATTTGCATCTCCAGTAAAACAGGGCTGCTTCTGTTGTGTCTGCTGCTGTGTGCACCACACTGCAATCTCTGATTGGCTCATAAATAGGCTTCTCTGTGATTCTAGTTGCTTGTAGACTTGTTTACGGTCACAGTTTCAATACTTGGAAATTAAACTGAACTGAGTGTAACACAGTGACAGTTTAGTCTTGAAAAAAAACCTTATTCCAATGTTTTAGGCTTATTAAACAATGAATTTTAACCAGCACTTCCTGATTCAACTTACTTGCAAAACAACCTCCTCATTTGGCAAACAGAGTTGAATAGGTGATAACTCTTCTTAGAAATACCTGGAAATCTTGCATCACAACAGTGCCCTATACAGAATCTCCTTTAAAATCAAGTACAGCTCAAGGTGGATTCAAGACTTAAATGTAAAACCCAAAACTATAAAAACCCTAGAATAAAATCAAGGCAATACTATTCAGGACATAGTCACGGGCAACGAATTCATGACAAAAATGTCAAAAGCAATTACAACAAAAGTAAAAACTGACAAATGGGATCTAATTAAAGTAAAGAGCTTCTGCACGACAAAAGAAACTATCATCTGAGTGAACAGACAACCTACAGAATGGGAGAAAATTTTTGCAATCTATCCATCTGACAAAGGGCTAATATCCAGAATCTACAAGGAACTCAAACAAATTTACAAGAAAAAAAACAAACAATCCCATTAAAAAGTGAGCAAAAGACATGAACAGACACTTCTCAAAAGAAGACATCCATGCAGTCAACAAACATGAAAAAAAGCTCAACATCACTGATAAGTAAAGAAGTGCAAATCAAAACCACAATGAGATCATTTCATGCCAGTCAGATCACAATTATTAAAAAGTCAAGAAACAACAGATGCCGGCGAGGCTGTGGAGAAACAGAAACTCTTTTACACTGTTGGTGGGAATGTAACTTAGTTCAACCATTGTGGAGGACAGTGTGGTGATTCCTCAAAGATCTAGAACCAGAAATACCATTTGACCCAGCAATCCCATTACTGGGTATATACCCAAAGGAATATAAATCACTCTATTATAAAGATACATGCACATGTATGTTCACTGCAGCACTATTCACAACAGCAAAGACATGGAATCAACCCAAATGTCCATCAATGACAGACTGGATAAAGAAAATGTGGTAGATATACACCATGGAATGCTATGCAGCCATAAGAAGGAATGAGATCACGTGCTTTGCAGGAACATGGATGAAACTGGAAGCCATTACCCTCAAAGTAATGCAGGAACAGAAAACCAAATACTGCATGTTCTCACTTATAAGTGGGAGCTGAACAATGAGAACACATGGACACAGGGAAAGGAACAACATGCACTGGGGCCTGTTGAGGGGAGCTGGGGAGGGAGAGCATCAGGATGAATAGCTAATACGTGTGGGGCTTAATACCTAGGTGATGGGTTGATAGGTGTAACAAACCACCATGGTTCATGTTTACCGAAATAACAAATCTGCACCTCCTGCACATCTATTCTGGAACTCAAAATAAAAATTAAAAAAATATGAGAATAAATTAAATATATATAATAAAAAATAAAATAAAAATAAAATACTCTAAAAATGGGTCATGATTTTTACAGGTAGACGTTCTTCACTAATCAAATTAATCAAAATATTTTATTTGGACACCCTATAATTAGTACTAGTTCAGAAAATTCATTTTTCTTTATCAACAATTAAAAATTATAAAATATTATATAAATATATATAAACAAAATAATATCAACTACAGCTGTTCTTTTTAAAAAACAAAAAATTTGTGCTGGGCATGATGGCTTGCACCTGCAATTCCAACACTTTGATGTTAGGAGTTCGAGACCAGCCTGGCCAAAATGGCAAAACCCCATCTCTACTCAAAATACAAACATTAGCTGGGCGTGGTGGCTTGTACACCCAGGAGGTGGAGGTTGGAGTGAGCCTAGATGGAGCCACTGCTCTCCAGTCTCGGCAACAGGGACTCCATTTCGAAAAAAAGGAAAAAATATTTGTTGTTAATTATCTACTTCCACCTATGTGCACCCGTATTATTTATTTTACTGTGCTCTATAGTCTTTAAAAAATTCAACAGAGACTCTTTTATTTCCTATGGAAATCCCTTTAAAGTTACATTATTACAAAATACTTCAAAACTAAGAGTCTTGCTTGACCTTAATATTGATACTTACCTCTTATTAATCAATGACTATTTGTGACATACTGTCATAAATTCTTTACTCTTTTATGTCATCTGAAGATGGTTCATTCATTCAGATGGTTCATTCAGAATCTTCAATCATTCAGATGGTTCATTCAGAATCTTCAATTCTGAAGATAGGTAATTAGTTATTTTATTTTACAAATATATTTTAGCACCTACCCTGTTCCAGATACCGTTCTACGATTGGATGTGCGTTAGGGAATGAAACTGACAGTCTCTGACCTTGCTTTCTTTCTCAGGCAGGGAAAAAGCAATAAATCAGTGACTACATCCTGTGTCAGATGCTGGCAGGGACTGGGAAGGAACACGGAACAGGGTTATAGACAGGAAAGAGCGTACGTGCTGTGAGCAGGCCTGGCCTCCTTGAATTCTATGCTGTATGGAGATACATAGGAGGTAACACAGGACAGTTCAGATGTGTTTCTCCCCCTATTCTTGCTCAAATGTCTCAAGAATAACTGTCAAATGTGCTGGGGATGCTGTAGGTTGAGGTAAGAAGGAGCTGAATGGAACAGCTTGGACTCTCTTCCAGTCTTTCCCCAGGACAGGATATCCTTCGATGCTTTAGCTAAGCAAGATCCATAACCCTGGGGTACAAAGCCCAGGGAGAGCTGCTTTCCCGTGTCCCTCAGCTACGGTGCAAGTGGGGCTCATGCGGTGGAGACACCGTCCTCCCCAGGCAGCTCTCCTGAGACTTGGGGGACCCGCTGGCAGTGAATATGGGGCTCCTCTTCCTCCCTGCTGCCCATCTGTGAGTAAAATCCCACTTCATGGCACCTGCTGTTTGTGGGTGTGTTCTGTCTCGCTGGGCTCAGACAAGTTGACAACCAGTGCAAAGGGAACCTGCTTCATGCATCGTGAGCAAATCTGTGCATCCTGAAGGATGATCCCAGACAGAGAGAAGGACAAAAGTCAATACCCTGAGACCCAGGCATGCTTGATGCTTTTGAGAAACTGGTAAGTCTTAGCAGCAAGGGAGGTGGGAGAAGCCCAGGATGTGACGTAGAGCAGAGGTGAGGCATGTTTTACAGAGGACATCGGAGAACATTATTAGAATAATTTATGTTTTTAGGGAGTGAGGTGAAAAGTCACTGGGGATTTTGAGCAAACTAGAGATATAAACTGACTTTTGAAAATAATCACTCGTTTCTGTGTTGAGAACAGAATGAACAGGGGCAAGTGCAGAAGGGCAGAAATGAGTTAGGAGAGATTTGCAATAATCTAGGCAAGCAGTGATGATTGCCGAGACTGGCAATTAACTGTGGAAATGGGAGGATGGCTGGATCCCCAACATGATGGAAAATGAACAGAGTGTATGGGTCTGCTGATGAATGTGGGGTATGAGAACAAAAGAAGGATTAAATATAAGTATAATAATTTTCAGCCTAAATAACTGAAAAAAAAAAAGAATTGCCATTTTCTAAGAAGAAAAGAGTGTGAGAGGAACAGGTTTTGTAGAGGAGACCCAGAGTTTGCTTTTAGACATGCTGTGTTTGAGATGTCTGTTGGACACTTAGTGGAGATGTCATGTGGACAATTCACTGTTTGCAGTCTGAGTTCAGAGTCTGAATAGGAACATTTTGGTAGAGGTTAGCAGATGGATTGTATTTGAAGCTGCAGGATCAGAGTCAGGACAGATGAAGAAAATGAGGATGTGGAGGACCCTGAGAACTCCAGTGTTTACAGGAAGAGACAGGAAGTGGCCAAAGCAAAGCAACTGAGAAAGCAGAAAGAGTCAGATAGGAAGGGGATCAAGAAGCAGAGTCTAAGTAGGTAATAAAACAGTCTTCCACAGGTGAAGTGTCCAGTGCTAACCACAGGCCAAGGTGTGAGAGGTGTTTGAACCAGAGCGACTCCATCTTGAGTGAGGGCTTGGTAAAACGAGCCTGGGACGTGCTGGGCTGCATCCCTAGAAAGTTATGTATTCCTAGCCTCTAGAGGTTCATGGTTAAGGGAAGAGATTGATAACGTTTACTAAACAGACCCAAAATTAAAAGTGCCCCGACATCCTGATACCTTGAAAAAAGAGCGTTCTTAATTTTGCTTTAAAGAAAATAATATAGATTCTTGCAAAATATAGTAATTCAGAAAATTAATCCTTTATCACAAACCCTTGTAGCAAAGAACATCTCCCCTGATCTTTTTTCATCCTATATACGAACAAGCATTTTACCTGGGATGGAGGCGTTCTTTCTCTTACTCTCGGGAACGCCTTACTCTGTCCATGGAGTAGCTTGCTCTTTCCCAGTTGACGTTCTGAATAAACTTGCCTTTGCTTTTGCACTGTGGACTCGCCCTGAATTGTTTCTTGCATGAGATCCAAGAACCCTCTCTTAGGGTCTGGATTGGGATCCCTTTCCAGTAACAAAGGCGGGGGCCCTGGGAACGGACCGTCCAATCTGACAGCTTGGCCACCACTGCAGACTTGCCTGGAGCTATTCAGTGGGCAGGAGCCACAGAAGCTTGACTAGACGGGGTTCAGGGAGACCAGGATGCTGGGTGGAGACAGGGAATGGAGCCAAATCTTAGAAATGTTGTTTGCTTTTCTCTAATGAGAAAAGATATGAAGACAAGCAGGAGATGACAAGACACGTGCTAGTCCAAGATGCCTTACAGCTATAGTAAGTAAAATGTCAATATGGTTATTTCTATGAATTAATACCAACTTAATGTTTAATCTGAAAGTATCTTAAATATCTTAGATCTCTTCTTTCTCATGTGTCAACTTGATCCTTCATTTTTGTTCCTTTTATGAAATTTCTCTCAGGGAAATTTATCAGGACAGTATAAAGTTAATTTCAAATATGGTATTTCCTGAATACAAACTTTTCCATGACCTTAACAAAGTATAAAACCTAGGACAGGTATCAAAGCAGATCGTCTCTCTCTTTCTCCGTCATTACTTGCAATCTATTACAGTAAAGGACTCTACACTTAGCAAAGAGCAGGAGGTAGAATATTGTTTCCATGTGTCTGTCTATATGTGTATATATGTATGTGTCTATGAACTTTTCTGATTTAAAGAAGGACATGGTCTTCATGATTTTCAAAGTTGCTTTTATCCCTAGAATTCTCTATAGTACTACATAAACTGGTAGCTTTATTCCAATACTTAACATATTCTTCTACAAAACAGCTGTAAAACATAAACAGCCATTGTGATGTCTGATGGTCCAAGGTGGCCATTTCTGAAAAGCAGGTGCAAAACAGAAGGTAAATTTTCCAGGCCTAGGTCTACAGACAATTTTGAAGAGGTGAGTGATAAAGAATCATACTGTTCGGTATAATTTCACCACTCTAATGTGATGTAGACTACAAATGAATCCTGTCTTTACCATGAAGGCTACTTATCATGGGCTCTCCACTGCCGTAACCCAAGTTGAGCAATTCAGGTGCATCATCAGCGGTGGACAACTTACAGACACTGCCTTTGGCAAAATTGAGGACACTTAACTGCGAATCACAGCCATTTGACAAGTAATGGTGCTGATTATTTTAAAGGGCTACTGGAATCTCAAATACAGATAAGCTTTTGTTAAAAAAATAGTCACATTCTGTGAAAAGGCTCAGGAAGCAAGTTATTTAGTAGCAGAGTCTATTGGCCACAAAAAGCAAAGTCAAGCAGTTGGTGCAAACTTAGTGATGTAGCAATAAAATTATAGTGAATGCATAGTGGGGAATGCTAGGACAGGGTGCAGTGGGAGAAACTGGAAAGGTTTAGCTCCTAAGCCAAACAATTAGTCAACATATTGATGAGTCACATGACACTGAGAAAGATTTCTCTAATAAACCAAAATGCAGTTTCTCCATCAAGTTGACATTTAACAGCCCTTGCTAACAAATGTAAATAGCAGTAAAATCCAAGAAAATATGTTTTGCTGTGCATAGGTGTCTCAACTAAGCAAAGGTCATCATGTATTTGTTTGTCTTCATATATGGAAAAAAACACTTCATCTTAGAGAAATTGTGTAAGGTTCTATGCAGATAGTGCCCTCAATGGCTGGCCACGTGAATTTTTCCTCTATTATTAAAAAAAAAATCCCAGTACTTTGGGAGGCCAAGGTGGGGGGATCATGAGGTCAGGAGATCGAGACCATCTTGGCAAACATGATGAAATCCCCATCTCTACTAAAAATACAAAAAATTAGCTGGGTTTGGTGGCATATTCCTGTAGTCCCAGCTACTTGGGAGGCTGAGGCAGGAGAATCTCTTGAACCAGGGAGTCGGAGCTTGTGGTGAGTCAAGATCCTGCCACCGCACTCCAGCCTGGTGACAGAGTGAGACTCCAAAAAAAAAGAAAAAAAAAAATCCTGATACTGTCACCATACATTGTTCTCCTCACAGTACTGAGCAATTGTCAAAAGTTTTGAATAATACTGCAAAATGATTAACATTATAAAACAAAAAAAAATTACTCATCAATGGGTAAAGATTGTATAAACAGCTGGACAAATCTTCAATCAATGTAGGAATTACTGAAGATAAAAGGAGCTGCAGAAATCAGCCTGCACAGTTGTGTTTCATGACATGAACTTTTTGAACAGGATTCTGCAGCTCCCTGAAGAACATCATTTACTTCCAGTGATGTTATTACTGAAATGAAAGGGAAGGTGAAATATTGGAAAAACGATGTTGCAAGGGAAACTGTGAAAATGTTTCCACTGCTGCTTGAGTTTAGATGGAGGGAGGATATCAGAGGTCTTGAGCTGTTTTGAAAACCTCCTGGAAGAAGGGAAGAGCAAAACTGAACAGCGTCTCCCCTCCTGTCCACAGATGTGGGGCTGGTCAGGGCCCCTTCTCTGAATCTGCTGTTTAGCTGGAGACCTGACTTAGACAGCAGGACCAATAACGTGGGCTACAGGTTGGCCAACCCTCATGCTGCCATTCACACAGGCTCCTGGACAAGCTCTGGGCTTGGCAAAGATGAATACCTTGTCTTACACAAGAAAACAGGGCCACATGGCTTTGACTTCGGCCTTAAATAAGTGAGCAAGCCTCTTCTTGTGTTATGAGCACCAAGAACAAAGACAGAAAGTCATACTCGACAAGAAAATGAAATGAATGTGTGCTTATTTCAGTTTCTAAGTGAGAATGTAAAATTTGTACGGTCGAAAAATATCAAAACCATTTAGTTTCCACACTGAAGAGGTAAAACTGATTCAGTTTTTAAAACACTACTTCTTGTACATATACAGATGTATAAACGGATCAGTAGGTCAATGATTGTCCGTAATGTTTTCCAACTTCTGAGCATATATTTATGCCTGATCACGTCTCTCAAATAAGAAAATATTTTTCCAAAGTCTCATACAAAATTGAGTTTTAGGCTTTATTTTTATTTACATTGCTTTACTATTTAAATATTAAGTTTACTATTTTGTATTGTTAATAAAGTGGGTTTGTAAGTAATATTAATTTAAATATACTACAACCTTTCTTTGGAGTTAAATCTACTAAGCCTACCTATATGAAAAACAATAGATCTTATTTTGGCTTGAGCTAGTTATCTAATAGAAATGTGTTGTGTTTTTCTTGTTGCTCTTTAAGATTTATGAAAAGAAAATAAAATGATTAAAGACATGCAAACAAAGTTTTTTAAAAGGAATTTCGCTAGGTCATTTTTTAAAATGTCATTTTAAGAATAAGAAGTACTCCTAAAATTACTACATGCACCATGCCATATCCTGATGTCATAAAGTAGAAATTTGCGATACAACTTCAACCTATTTGGATATGGTAAAGAAAAAAATAACTAAAAGAAAGGAAATGAGTTTATAAACTTCCTGGAGAGGGGTAACCACCCCATGAAAGTAGGACAGTATTTTGACCAAAATAAATAGGTCCACCAAAAAAAATACCGTGCTCAGAAGAGCACTGATAATTATTGCTGTATGACTCTATCGGTACATGTAACAATGTTATGGGGGGTTCCTGCAACCTAGGATTCCTTTGCCTTCCTCAAGCCACAAGGGCTGATGGAGCCATCTCAGTGCCCAGTTCTGCCCTTCCTCACTCTCTGTAGCCCTTGTCTATTTTAAAATGCTTATTTAATTATTATTTTTTATTT
Organism: Homo sapiens; assembly: GCF_000001405.40. Lineage (NCBI taxonomy): Eukaryota > Metazoa > Chordata > Mammalia > Primates > Hominidae > Homo > Homo sapiens. Next base: position 3,548,310 of record NC_000008.11, read on the forward strand.
CCATAGGTAATTGGGGAACAGGTGGTATTTGGTTACGTGATCGAGTTCTTCAGTGGTGATTCGTGAGATTTTGGTGCACTTATCACCTGAGCAGTATACACTGCACCCAGTTTGTAGTCTTGTATCCCTCAACCACTTCCCACCCTTTCTGCCTGAGTCCTCGAGGTCTACCCTGCCACTCTTATGCCTTTCCATCCTCATAGCTTAGCTCCTGCTTGGAATGAGAACATACGATGTTTGGTTTTCCATTCCTGAGTTACTTCACTTAGAATAATAGTCCCCAATCTCATCCAGGTTGCTATGAATGCCATTAATTCAACCCTTTTCACGGCTGAGTGGTATTCCATCATACACACACACACACACACACACACACACACACACACACACACCATGGTTTCTTTTTCCACTCATTGATTGATAGGAATTTGGGTTGTTTCTAAAGAGTAAGCCCGGCCAAGTTGTTTTCATGCTTAACCACCTTCTCAGGTTTCTAAGCCCTTTCAGAGCAAAGCCACCCTTGCTAGGAGGGCAGGCAGGGTGCTCCCTGGGCTGGGTCCCGCTCCCTACCCCGAGTCCACATCCTCCCCTTCTCACCTGGTGGTCACACACACTAAGTTCTCGCGTGTTCCTGTGCCTGTCCTGTCTTAACTCTGCTCTTGCAGACACCCCTCCCAATATACCTGGGTTTCCTCACCCTCTAGCCTTGTTTCAAGGAAGACCTGCTCCTCGAAGCCATCCCTGATATCAACCCCACTTCCCTCTGCTGAAGCCTCCATCTCAGAGCCACACATTGCCATGCAGATGCCCGCTTCCATGTTTGCTTTGCTTCTAGATTGGGTGTCTGCAAACTACAGCTCACGGTCCACATCCAGTCTGTGCCTGTTTTCTTGGTAAAGCCTCATAAGCATGGTTTCTATGTTCTGAAAGGGTTGTGGAGACCACAAAGGCGAAGTGTGCCAGTGACTGTGTGTCCTGCAAAATCTAAACCATTTATTATCTTGCCCTTTACAGGCAAGCTCACCAGCTTCTGTTCTAGGCCAAGTGGTCTCAGATAGACAGATCTAGGCCTTATTCTACTCTGGCCTGATGATGGGAGGCTATGCTTTGAATGTTTATGGCCTTTGAGGCTCACATGGAAACTCAGCCCCTCATGTCGCAGCAGTGAGAGATGGGACCATTAAGAATAGCTTGGGTCGTCAGGGCTCTCCTTTCTTGGATGGATAAATTCATTCATGGATGAATGGATTAATGCATTAATTTGTTAATGAATTACTGGATTATTGTGAGAGTGTGGCTTTTTAAAAACAGGAGGAGAAACCTCAGCTAGCATGATGGGAGAAATCTAGGAGAAATCTAGCTAGCCCCCTTCAACACTGGACGCCGTGTGCTGCCTTGGGCCTCTACAGAAAGTTCCCACCAGCAAGAAGGCGATCCCCAGATACAGTTCCTTGACTTTGAGTTTTCAGCCTCCACAACTGTAAATAATACACTCCCTTTCTCTATAAACCACCCAATTTCAGGTATTCTGTTACAAGCAACAGACAGTGGAGTAACATATGCTCCAAGTGTAACAAATGTAATTTGAATAAATAAGTCAACAAGCAGATTTATTGAAAGAAAATTCAGGCAATTGAAATAATTAGGTATCTTGGATCTAGACATAAAGAGTTAATATATGTGTTGCTTATGTTTTAATGACCACCTTCTTACATTTAACTCTGATTTTTCTTGTTTCATATTGAAAATCATTCTAAGTAAAAGGCAAGAAAAAAGAAAGCAAAGCACAGAGCCGATAAAAAAGTGTCCCATTGGGATCACCCATGCACGTGGCCTCAAAATCTAGGAGCCATGCTTCACCTTTTGATCCCGATTCTCCCATATGCAGCCCATCAGCAGGCATTCCAATGTCTCTTCCTTTAGAATACATCCTATGTCTCACCACCTGTCACCAGGCCACTATGGCTGCCCTCTCCTGTTTTCTCCAATAATTCCCACCTTTTTGGCATTTCTTGGACACAGCAAACTCATTCCTACTCCAGGGCCTTGACCCCGCCTGGACCAATCTTCCTCCTTCCCCATCTTCACAACCTCCAAGGCATGGCTCAGCAGACAGCCCTCAATATAATCTTTTAAAAGTTTTTTAATTGACACATGGCGGCTGTGCATATCGATGGGGTGCACAGTAATGTTTCCATACATATAAGGTGTAGTGATTCACTCAGGGTGATTAGCACATCCAGCATCTCAAACACTTATCTTATGGGTGCATCATCCCTAAGTTCCTTTCTCTGACCTCATCAGTCTCCACCCCTTTGCCTAGTGCTGTTTCCTTTCTTACTGGTTTGCTTTCCTTAGCTGCTATGACACCTGAAATCTTGCTATTTGTTTGCTTGCCTATTTTCCACTTTGCACCTCCTTGAAAAGAAGCTTCATGGCCAACCAGGCTTGCACCACATATTCCCACATCCTTCCTGGGTCACAGACAGGCACCTCGTGAATACTTGTTGGATGGAAGAGTAAATATATGGGTAAATAGGGTGTATGCAATATGCATTCCCATGTTGCCAATCTCTGCTTCCACTCGAAAATAGGAGTATGGCATCATGCAAATGTGTCTCTGCTTTTCTCTCATCAGATGACAAACCACTACTCAACTTGAAGTGAACAGTCAGACCCCTTTCTCAAAACTCTCCAGCAATGCATTAGTCAGGATCAGCCTAAATCTAAATGTAATTGCCACTCTCACCATGCTGTGAGAGCTCATGGCAGAACAAGGTAGCAGTTAAGAGAGTAGACTTGACCTCTTTGTGATTCAGTTTTCTTATCTTTAAAAAGGAAACACTAATGTAGCCTATGGCATAGGGCGTTCAAAGATTCAGTGAGATAATGAACATAATTACTTAAAGTTTCTAAAGCATGTAAATTTCTCAAGAAATATTAACTAATATCTTGTGGCATATTTTCTGTACTACAGGACTGTCATATCCAAACTCTATATCAATATGTGAATGTTTTGAAAGCCAACACACACTTTAGAGTTTGTGAGTCATTGGTTTTAAGCCTAAGAGTAGATGCAGGGGGTAAATGCTTTAGGTTGCAGTAAACTGGAATTAACTAATCTGCACACTGACAGCTAAGGAGAAAAGAACATATTTTACCAAATACATAACTTTTATTGTGACTGTTTGATAAGACCCTTTACGTCCCTAACCACTGCTTCTATATTGGTAAAGCTCTCTTTTCAGAATTGTCTTCTAATAAATATGTATATATATATATATATATTTTTTTTTTTTTTTTTTCTGAAGATACATTATGTTCTTTCCGGTGCTCATTTAATACCAAGCCAGTGTATAGTTTCTTACTCTATGTAATAAAGACATGACTGATGATGAGAAATAGTCATTGTAGTCTGTCATATCACTTGTATACTAAAGTCCGTGACAAGCTGCGATAATATGATGTTCTCTGTAATGTGATCATGCTGAGTGTGACATGCAGTACCTGCATCAGTCTAGACGTGGCTTTAGCTACTGAAAGATGAGGCTGCCACTGTGTCTTTAATGTGATCATGCTGAGTGTGGCATGTGGTACCTGTGTCAGTCCAGACGTGGTTTTAGCTACTGAAAGATGAGGCTGCCACTGTGGGAGCTGAGGACTGATAGGGATCTCACAGTGGCAGAAACAGGAACTCGAGAAGTTTCATAGCAAATGTTTAAAAAATAGAGATTTTGCAGATGCATGTTCTGTATTGTGAAAACAAATGGTAAAATTCTTTGAACAATGAGAGGAAAAAATCTCCTTTACATGGAGGCACTTTGAATTCATCCCATCTTCTAAGAGAAAGAGGTGAGATTTTCTGCACAAACAGAGTACTGTCTGTGGAAAAGACAACATTCTGATTTAGAAAAAAGGGCTGAGGAAATTACAAAAAAGTGTATCGACACAGAAAGCTTGAATACTAATCTAAATATGCATCATCCACATGGCATGAAAAAATAAGGTCAGCTTATTCTCTTTTTTTTTGCATATTTCTAAATTAAAGAAAACTAAATCTCCATGACATTTTGTAAGCATTACATGCTAAAATAAACAGTTCATAACAATTTGTGTATTTTTAAAAGGGATTGTTGTTAGGCAGTTATAAAGCTTCCTCTGACCTGTGATAACTGCCTTTCTATCTCAGAAAACATTGCTAAAGAGACTCAAAAGTTTTTTTGAATTGGATTAGCCAAGATAAACATAAGGTGGGGGGCATTGTGGTTATGCAAATATAAGGTATTTTAAGGAATTAAGAGGACTCAAGTGTAACGCGTATGCTACAGAGATCCTTTCTGTTGCAAGAGTATTCACATCAACATTGTTCATATACTCCATTTGGGTCTGAAGTTTTAGACTACGAAATTATCTACGTAAAGTATGCTTTTAGTTTATATGAATTTTATTGACACAAGAACAGTTCTGCTTTTTAATACAGAAGACTAAGAACCATTTTCATTAATTTTAAAATTGTATAATTTATATTCTTTTAAATTAAGTTATAAAAGATTTACTTGTTTAATACAAAAGTAAATTCTTCCACTTTCTTGATAATTAATGGAGATCGGAAATCTGTTATAATTTTTGATAAAACACAGAGAAGATTTATATTTCAGAAATAGTTCACCACATATTTAGACCTGTCACGTACTGTCTGTCAATTACTGGTAGTTTTGCAGAAGAATACTGAAGAGTTCAATATATTCAAGCAATAAAATATTATTCTTAAAACCAATCAACCAACCAGCTAAAAAATAAATTGTGGACAAGGAGAAAAAAAAAAAGAAAGGAAAGACCTACTCTGAATATCTTTCATCAGTTTCAGGCTGTGCTAAATGCAATGTAATATCACTTCATGGATTTATGAGAAGATACCTAGGTAGGCTTTCAGTAATGTAGCCATAGTTCGGAGCTGCAGGCACACCGTCAGCACACGCTTGGTGAAATGGAGACATGAGAGCCAATTTCAGGAATTTTTATAATAATTTGAGAAGTCATTAACTGCCTTTTTTAGATAAATTGTTTCATGAAACAGACAGAGTGTGACAGACCCAGCTGATTCATGATCTCATCCTATGTCTATTCAGTTCCTCAGTTTCTTCCCTACTATGAAAAAAATTTGAAGAAGATATTCCTAAGACAGCTGCGTCAAATCAACCATACTGTAGAAGCAGGATTGCTGCCGTGGCACAGACTTGGAATATCCAACAATTACAGCTCTACCTTTTATCAGAACATAAACCATAACTGTGATGTCCCTCCCAGCATTGCTAATGACAGTAAAATCTTGAAAACAACTTGACTCTTTGTTAACTTGGGATAGGGAAACCAATTTTAGTAGGTCCATAGTTACAAATATTCTGAAGACATTAAAATATGTGAAGTAGACATATAAATTAATAAATCTAGAGAGATGTTTATGTTTTATTAAGTGAAAAATAGGCAAATAATTTCACAGAATATTTATAATATTTGTATCACTCTTGAAAAGGACTGAAAACACACATATGCCAAACACGTACACATACATATCCACAACAGTCATATTTAAATGGTCATGTAAAGGCAGACTTCTACGTAATGGGGCAAAACAGAATGTAATTTGTACATTAGGTGATGGAATTATGGGTGAAATTTGCTTTCTCTAGGACTGATTTTATTTTTCAAAAAAAATAAGTAAACATTATAGTTTTGAAAGATGGGATGTGGATGTGTGTGCTCGTAGCTTATATTATGCGTTCTTCATGACTGTATTTAATGCATGTCTAAGCTCATGCCTTTTATACAAGTGAAACATACACAAAAAGAAGGTAGACAAGAAGAAGTTTTTAATGGATATAGCCATTTAAGGCAAAAAAGATTGTGTTTTTCTTTATAAGAACAGTGAAAAGACAAGCTGATGAGAAAACACATTTGGAAGTGGTAGGGAATATCTTAAATGGGTCCAGACCAGTTCAACATGAAGTCAGAAGAGTGAGAAATAACTACAGAAGACCTGCTGGCTGGCGAGGGCTGTGAACCAATTTGGGATTGAGGAGGAAGACAATGAAGCCCCCTCTGGGGGTCTGGGGAGAGCCTGGAGCTGGGGGAGCAGAGAACAGGGTCACAGACACCCCACATTGAGGGGAAGGGAGGGTGGAAGGGAAGCAAGGCCACATAAATGTGGAATTGAGATAATTGGTACCCCCAGCTCCTGCTCTGTTGGAAGCCATGAAGAAGCTACAGCCCCTCTAACAAGGCACAGCATGGCCAGGCCAAAGAGGATCTGAGCAGGTGGGAGAAATAGCCCATGAATGGCAGCACCTTAGTTTTCTTGAGCTTGTTAGAGTTTTTTTTCTCAGCCTGGCTTTGTTAATCAGAATGTTGAGAGCTTCAGAACTTCCACAGAGGGTCAATACTTCAGAGCGGGGGAGGGAGTAAATCTACAAAGTAAGCAGAAGAGATTTCAACAGTGTGTCAAGTGAGCTGGGTCTGGGCAGGCCAAGAGTGCTGTGTGAACAGCCAGCAGGCAGGGAGCCCCCTGCAGTGGTGAGAGTGTCACTGAAACTCAACAGTAACCTGGCAAGCAGCCACACAGGGCAAGTGGGTCAGGGGTGTTAAAGAGAAGCCCAGACACCTGGGCTCTTGTCAGAAGCAGGAAACACCACATAAGCTGAGGAGGAAGGGAAGAAGACTGTGCGTGAGGAGTCCTCCGCCAGGGAAGGCTAAGGAGCCAGGAGAGCCCTCGGCAAGTGCAGCCGTAGGACCCGTGACAGGCAAACCCTGGCAGGCGCTATTAAATTATGAGCAAAACCTAGGCCAGAAAACAAGCAGAATGGGGAGAAATGTGTCTGGGAGGTGTAGGGAAAGATGGACGGGAGCTTTTGTGAGCAGTGCTTGTGAAATGTGACAGGGCATTTAGCTAGGAGTCATGAAGCCAATGGGATGATTTAGGCAGTATTTCAATACTGAGGCTCACAGAGGTTTTCATTCTGTTCTTGGGACACGTTCAGGGTATTTCTGGTGTGGTCATTGATGATGACAGTCTGAACGCTGTAAGAATTTAGCCAAATCATCCCACCTGCTCTTCCTGATGAGGGCTGGTGGGGTCAGGTGGCCCTGGCAGGTCAGAAGGTGGAGGTGAAGTGGGATGCTGACAGGTTTAAATTCTATGCACTGAGCCCCATTTGCAAAAATTCCACAGCTGGGTGAACTTAAACGCTTGCTTCACTGAAGCTTTTGTGTAAGTTTAGCTCATTTTCTTTAATTCTACAGAACAAACTTATTTTACATATAAATTTAAAGTAAATATGGAAGTACATGTACACTTGAATCTGATAACTTAAATGTGAGGGTGCATAAAAATAAAATATGTGTCTATCATATTTGAGTTTTCTGTTCATTTCCCATTCATTTCATTCTGTATCTCTAATTTTAGATAGTTAGATAGATGTATGGTTAGGCAGACAGTTGTATGGTTATAGACAAAATCTTCGGTGCCAAAAGTTTTTCTATGAAATATACATAGTGGAGCATTTTAATAATACTGTTTAGGGTTCCAGAAGTCAGTCAAATGTGATATTAAAACAGCTCCCAGAAAGCAAATATTTGAATAGCTCTGGTTCTCCCAATGTTAAATGACAGACTATTAAAACTGGTGATTTCAATCCCATTCAAGGACAGAACAAATAGAATATAGAGGAATTTGACATTAACTTTTCGCTCTAGATGTTCTTAAGTATGTATTATTCCATATTCCACTAACTACATAAGACTCCTCACAAAACCCAGCAGCACAAAACAGAGGAACTATTCAGAATCATCAATTTCCTAAGTGGATTTTATAAACATGTAACACTTAATTATGAAGACTTTTGTTTGTTACAGTAGAATTTAGGAGGGATCCTTTCCATGTTTTTTGGTACCCATTAACCACCCTCACCTCCCTACAACCCCCACTACCCTTCCCAGCCTCTGATAAACATCCTTCTACTATGTCCATGAGTTCAATTGATTTTATTAGCTATCTACCCACAAAGATTTTTAAAATTTATAATAATTAATATATATATATATATATATATTCACACACACAAAGAATTTATGAGGGATCCTGTGGGTTGAGATAATTTGTTCAGTCCTTAAGCCAAAATTATCAAACAAAATACAAACTTCTTTTTCACACGCACACACACACACACACACACACACACACACACACCCTCTCTCTCTTTCAGAAATGGAAAAGTTCAATATCACTCTATCATTGCCTTTAGGGCTGGTACAAAAACATTGTCGTGGGGGCTGCCTGTGCCACCTGTTAACGAGGATAATGGTAATTGCGTCTCTCTACTGTAAGCACCTTTAAATGAAAAGTATGACTTAACATTTAACTTCTCCTCTCTCAAAGCTTTATTAGCTTTCAAGCCTAGCTGCTCAGCCTCTGATCATAGAAAGACTGCCAAAAGAGGCGACCTTGGTGGATGCCCCTCTCCCTTCACTGCCATAGGGCTTACCCCCTCTGGACAGATCTCAGCACACTTCGTACTTCACAGGAAAGCCACAAAAACAATCATCAGGTCACAAATGCAGTTTTCAAACACACACATAAAGCCTCACTTAGAGAACTGCTAAGTCAAGCAGAACCCAGCACCCAGTCCTTTGCAGTATCCTCTTTGTAATCTGCACTTTGGTGGAAACTGCAGGGTAATGGCACTGTCAAAAAACACAGAATGGCAAGTGCAATGGAACACAATACAGGCGGCCAAATCCATTCCAAATATTACCCACGACTGAGCTTCACTGCCACAAATATATTTTGTGTGTTACATTCAGAAGACACTTCTATGAAAATAATGTTTTGTTTCTCTGGATATGTATTAGTACAACATATTTGGCCATTTTTAGGACCCAAATAATATGTAGATTTGTGGGATTCGTGGCTTGGAGACAGCTGTACCTATTTTTAACAAAAGACCTTTAATTATGGCAGACCATCGCTGCCTCTCTAGTGGGGTAAAACATTCCAAACTTGGCCATTATTACTATCATTTATTCGTGACCATTTATGGGTCTTCACTATTTGCCAAACGCTGTGCACAAGACTGGAAATTCAAAGAGGTTTTAGACATAGGCTTCCTTGAAAAGATAATTTAAACAACATGTCTCATTATGCACCATTAAGAAACAAACAAACACTCTTTAAAAAGAGGCACAGTGTTTCCTTTTAGAGGTGAGCAAGTCCTGAATTGGCCCCAACAGCCTCTCACTGCTTGAGGCTTTCTTTCCTCTGCTTTGAGGCCCTATCTCCTGCCTTCTGCGGAAATGCTTGGAGCATGGAGATAATCATTTTACAATTCTCTCCACAGTAAAACACATCACAGCTTCCTCTACCTGTGGATACTTTCCCCTTAGTCCCCTAGTAGGTGACACAGGTTTTGGTTTGCCTAGGACAGATAGAGTCTTTGGTTGTTTCTAGGTTGATTATTAATAGCATTATCACCCTTTACTCCAAAGGTAACTTAAGGGTAATAATGCCATTGGTTCAGCATTTGGATCAGATAATAAGTTATACGGTCAACTCCCTAAATAAATAGTTTGTTGGTTTGCAAAAACATTGTGGAATGTGTGCTACTACTCCAATGATGAATGGTGCCTCAGTGGTACCCTGTGTCCACTCCTCCAATGATGAATGGTGCCTCAGAAGTAACCCGTGTCCACTCCTCTGATGATGAATAGTGCCTCAATAGTACCCCGTGTCGACTCCTCCAATGATGAATGGTGCCTCAATGGTACCCCGTGTCCACTCCTCCAATGATGAATGGTGCCTCAATAGCACCCCGTGTCCACTCCTCCAATGATGAATAGTGCCTCAGTAGTACCCCGTATCCCCTCCTCCAATGACAAATAGTGCCTCAATAGTACCCTGTGTCCACTCCTCCAGTGATGAATGGTGCCTCAATGGAACTCCGTGTTCACTCCTCCAATGATGAATGATGCCTCAGTAGTACCCCGTGTCCACTCCTCCAATGATGAATGGTGCCTCAGTAGTACCCCGTGTCCACTTCTCCAATGATGAACGGTGCCTCAATGGTACCCCGTGTCCACTCCTGCAATGATGAATAGTGTCTCAATAGTACCCCATGTCCACTCCTCCAATGATGAACGGTGCCTCAATGGTACCCCATGTCGACTCCTCCAACGATGAACGGTGTCTCAATGGTACCCCGTGTCCACTCCTGCAATGATGAATGGTGTCTCAATAGTACCCCGTGTCCACTCCTCCAATGATGAATAGTGCCTCAATAGTACCCCGTGTCCACTCCTCCAATGATGAACGGTGTCTCAATGGTACCCCGTGTCCACTCCCGCAATGATGAATAGTGCTTCAGTAGTACCCCGTGTTCACTCCTCCAATGATGAATAGTGCCTCAATAGTACCCCGCGTCCACTCCTCCAATGATGAATGGTGCCTCAATAGCACCTCGTGTCCACTCCTCCAATGATGAATGGTGTCTCAGTAGTACCCCATGTTCACCTGCCGCCCTGTAGTTGCTCAAGGTGTCTGAAAAGGAAAGCGTCCTGGGGCAGCACCACGATTCGAGGTCCCAGAGTAGCCCAGTATGACGGCAGAATTGGAATGAAAAGATAAATGACTAGAAGTGGGACTGCCGTGGTGGTCTGGTGACCTGTCATGAAAGATTGGTGACATGTAAAGGACCATGGAGAAGTGTTGAAGGATATTATGCTGAAGAATAACATCCTCTGATTTTAACTTTGCTATCAACGCTGTTGAAATACAGGTGTGTGTACCCTGTGGCAGGAACTTCCATGAGCTCTCTTTTAGCATATGGTATGTGTTTGGGCAATAAGTATCAATATTTCAAATGTGCAACAACATTACCATAATTCCAATTCAAAGAATTTGTCCTATGGAAATAACTGCCCTTGGTGTGAACATGAAGATCGCCATGGAATGATTGTTTGTGATTTCAAAGACTAGGCATGGTCTGAACAGAGGTTTAAAGGAGTAAGCTGATGGGAAGAAATACTAAGTAGCCAAAACAAATAATAAAGTTCATCTGGGAATATACGCAACATATTGTAACGTTGCCAAGCAACCTGTAAATGTGTGGAACATCATCTAAAATTTAAAGGCACCGTGAAGAAGAAGAACGAGGAGGAGAAGGAAGAGGAAAAATGGAAGATGATAAAGGAAAAGAATTGGGTTTTTGTGTTTATAAACACAGAGATACAAGTCTTAAAAATAAGTACCCACAATTACAATCACTGATTATCTTGAGATTAAAGCATTTCAAGGTCTTCACTTTCTGCTTCGTATTTGACTGTATTATATCATGTTTAAAATAATGATCACATATTGATTGTATTTTATACATATATCTACATTTTTGAAAAGTACATTTCAAATTTATTGTGGAAGATAAATTAGAAAATGGAGAGTGAGGAGAGACAAACAGCTATGAGGGATTAAAACAAAACATATGGCAAGACTACTAAGAGGCCCCTAGAGTGGACACAGTGAGAATGGAAGAGGGGTTGAAGACAAAAGATATTCAAGAGGTGAAGGAATTATTGCTCAGCTGGAGGTGACAGAGGAGGAAAGCCGTGCGGAATGAAGGTGGGTTTTCTGGATTTCCTAACAAGATGAGTGGCCAGCGTAAGGGATTTAGTGTGGAGGGAATTTGGTGAATGAGAGACAATTGATTTTTTTCTGGATCTGTTCACTAGAAAAGACACCCAGAGATTCCAGGACCCATTCGAACTTGTAGTGCTGGGTTCAGCAAAGTTGATTATATAACTTATCTCTGTAAGGCACAGGAAGAGCCCTTGAAATAATGGAATGCAAAGAAATTCAAGGTCCAAAGAAGAAATTATATTAATAGAAGGATAATATTAACAGTAGTACTGTTAATTACTTAGAAGCATTTCCACATGCATCATTTCTCTGAGAAACACAGAAATGATACCATTAGTGAAGGTACCTATCATTATCATCACCACAGTTATATGGCATATGAGGACATTGAGAGTCAAGAATTTCAGTGTCTTTTCTAAGATGAAATAGCTGCAAAATGGGCAAAGTCAAGATGGGATCCCAGGTCTGTGAACTCCAGACTGATTCTTCTCATGCTGTATTAGTGCCCTAGAAGAAACCTAGACCTTGAAAGCATGTATTTGAGAAAAGGCAGCTCCTCTGAGTTATAAATGACTCTTAAAATGAATGGGAGAGGAAGAAGGAATGGAAAGGCTAGAGAAAAGGGGGAATGAGATGGCGGGATGATATAAAAACCTAGATATTTCTATTGTCTTTTACTGTCTTCATGGAAACCATGAATTTCTCTCAGGGTACTTTTTGACATAAATTAGTGGAACCTAATTATCACTAGCAGCCTTTCAGGAGAACTTTTTTGGCTATATATCTCCTTGATTTGACCCTATCGAGCTAGAGAAAGCAATTTCATTTATCCTTCTGTAACACAATGGCTTAGGGTAAAGGGTCTTTTGTAGAATTTCATCACCATTTACTGATTGATTCTTCCAGTTCCTATTTACTTCCATGTTACAGACGCCTCACGTTGTATTTAGAATCCAGATTCACAGAGCATCCCAATGGGCAGTGAAAATTACAGTGACCACTCATTATTTAACAGCAATAAAACGGCAGGCAGTGAATACACACATGAAAAAATGCCCAGCATCACTAATCATCAAAGAAATACACATTAGAACCACAGTGAGATGCCACCTCACACCAGTCAGCATGGCTATTATTAAAATGTCAAACAATAACAAATGTTGGCAAGGATGTGCAGAAAGCAAATACTATTGGTAGCAATGTAAATGAGTAAGCCTCTATGGAAAACAGTATGGAAGTTTCTCAAAGAACTAAAACTGGAACTCCCACTTCACTCAGCAATTCTACTACTAGGTATCTACTCAAAGGAAAGGAAATCATTCTACGAAAAAGACACCCGCACTCCTCTGTTCATTATACACTATTCACAATAGCAAAGTCATAGAATCAACTTAAGTGTCCAACAATGGTTGATCAGATAAAGAAAATGCGGTATCTTTACACCATGGATACCACACAATCATAAAATGATACATTTCTTGGCAATATGGATGGAACAGAATGTCATTATCCTAAGTAAAATAATGCAGAAATGGAAAGTCAAATACCACATGTTCTCGATTATAAATGGGAACCAAACAATGGGTACACATGGAGATAAGGATGGCAACAACAGACACTGGTCACTCCGAAAGTGAGGAGAGAGGCAGGAGAGTAAAGCTTAAGAATTGCACATTGGGTACCATGCTGATATTCAGGTGATGGGTGTACTACCAGCCCCGACCCCACCACGATGTAGTGTATCCATGTGACAAAACTGGACATATACCCGCTTTAAAAAATTTAACAAGTAAAATTAAAAACAGAAAAAGAAAAAAAAGTAGTATCTATAAAGTTAGTCACTGAGGAAGGAGAAATGTATGGCCCTCCAGGAAGGCAGGGGCTAGCATTCACAGACAGAGGAAGCCATGCCCAGAGGCTTCTGCATAAGCGAGGGATGCAGATGATCTCCCGTGAGCTGCGTGTGCCTGTGTGCACTGCAGGGCTTGCCTTATCTGCTACGTCAGAAACTTTGTGAAGGAGGAGTCCTGACTTTACACATCACTACCACCCATCTCATAAAACACTCTGCAGGTTTAGAGTAAAAATTCGGTACCTTCTTACAGATGAACATAACCATATGAGGGAAAAGAAAATCCAACCCACAAAAAAAAAAAAAATCCACTGTAAATAATACAGTAGTAGGTGGGGAAAGATGGAAAGTGAATGTTAAAATAATGATGTAGAATAGAGATTTGTATCATACTTGTTAAAGGAACTCTAGTGGCATGGAGGCCACAAAACATCAACTGATGAGAGAGTTTTAGAATCTAGAAAGACTTGGGAACCCTCCTTTCCTCTATCTGCATCTTGGTCAGTATTGCTAATGGGACACACACACACATGCACACACACACACGTACACACATGCATACACACACATGCACAAACACACATGCACACACACGTGCACATACACATACTCACAGCATATATATGCACACACACACATTAAGGTTGAACACAGATGAGTGCCACAGCAATCCAAAATTTATTTTAGCCTGCTTGGCAAAATCAAAAGTTCCCCACTTAAAACTCTCCCTTAATATGCTTATTTTTTTAACTCAGTAAAATTTTATTTCTAGAAATTTTTCTGAAGGCAAATATCCTGGATCTGTGAAACAATTTATCCACTGGGAATTTAAAGACACTATTATAGTTAATAATGAAAAAAAATCACAAAGAGTTACATGTTAAACAACTGATTGGTTAAAAATAATAATAATACGGAGCCTATTGGAGGGTGGAGGGTGGGAGGGGGAAGAGGATCGAGAAAAACAACTAAGGCGCACTAGGCTTATTTACCGGGTGATGAAATAATCTGTACAACAAACCCCCATGACACAAGTTTACCTTTTAACAAACCTGCACATGTACCCATGAACTTAAAAGTTAAAAAAAAAACCAAACCATCCATTTAGTAATTATTTTTAATTGCATTCTATTAGCCCAAAACTCTTCACAAGATAATATGAAGTCAAAGAGAAAGTAGAAGCATTTAGAATGCAATGCCATTCTTTGCTTGGTCATGATCTGGGTGGGAGGAATTATACAGGGTTGTAATTTTTCTTCATTTTATAAATATTTTCAAGAATTTATTTCTTCCCCCTATTTCATTGTCCTAATGTATTTGGCACTGTGTGACTACGTTTTATTTAGTTGGGTTTTTTGTTTGTTTTCTAATGTCTTCCTTCTAAAGTGACATCTCCGCACAAACCGGGATTTTAGTGACTTTTCTCACACTCCTTCCCAGTTATCTAAAAGTGTGTAATTTAAACAATTGCTGAATATAAAAGGTTTTGCTTTGTTGTTACTCATATCATTACTATTGTATTTAAGTACGACAAATACTAAAAATGAGAAAAATTGTAAAAAAAAGTTCAAATGCATAAAATAGGTAACGTATTAAAAGGTAAAAAAAAAAAAAAAAAAAAAAGGACCACATCTAAGACCTGTAAAACTAACTGAGCTCCAAAGAAAATAGGTATTTACACCTCCCTGTATCTTAAACCATATAAATACACACCTCTTACTCACAAAAAAACAAAACAAAAACACAAGTAAAAACATTTTTTAACCTGGCCTGGCACAGTGGCTCATACTTGTAATCCCAGCACTTTGGGAGGCTGAGGCGGGTGGATCATGAGGTCAGGAGTTCGAGACCAGCCTGGCCAATGTAGTGAAACCCTGTTTTTAGTAAAAATACAAAGATTAGCTAGGTGTGGTGGTAGGCATCTGTAATCACAGCTACTCGGGAGGCTGAAGGGGGAGAATTTCTTGATCTCAGGAGGCGGAGGTTGCAGTGAGCCAAGAGTATGCCATCGCACTCCAGCCTAGGTGACAGAACTAGACTCCGTCTCAAAAAAACAAAAACAGACAAACACACCAACATATTTTTAAACCTATTTTTCATGAATACTAATGTTCATTCTTTTGGGTACATTCTGAGTATACGATCATTAAAGTTCTGTCTTTTTAAGCTACTTTTATTTTGATTTGTAGTTGTATATATTTTGGGGGTACACGTGATATTTTGGTACATGTATATGATGCATAATGACCAAACAGTGTAACAGGAATACTCATCACTTCAAACATGTATCTTTCCTTGTGTTTGGAAGATTGAAATTATTTTCTTCTAGCTATTTTGAAATATATAATAAATTATCATTAACTATAATTTTCCTACTCTACTATTGAATACTAGAATTTTTTCCTTTTCCCTAACTTAAGCAACTTTTATTAAGAAAAAAAAGAAACGGAGTAAATCCTGTAAACTTTTCTCCCAGGATGTTTTTTGAATGTTTTGTCGTCCTCAGTGTCCATAAATAACTCCTACACAAACCTAGACATTCATTCACTCACACCTGCTAAATAGTTGCAAGTCTATTGTCTACAGCTGTGCTGTTATTCTTTACCTCTGTAACACTTTACGTTGTACACTGATAAGGGATTAGTCTTCTTAGAAATGCTGGCTCCACAGTATATTTGTGTGTGTGTGTGTGTGTGTGTGTGTGTGTGTATAATACATGTTTGCAAGCAAATCAAAAGCATGGCCCTTGTTCTCCATTTTATTTCTCAGCTCCAAGAGGAGGCAGTAAAAATAAATCTATTTAGTTCTGAAAGTTAAGAACTGAGGTGTTATAAGAAAATCAATCCAGCAGAAAGTGGAGAATGTACGTGCCCTTGTGGCAGAAAAACCAACCAACCAAACACACAAAAAACCCAAAAAACCACAATCGATCTTGAAAGGGGTGATGACAGAGGTGTGAGAGGGAAGTAGTCACCAAAACCAAACTCAGTTTATGAAAAAAGTTGCAACTGTTAAGCAGCAGTAACGGGTAAGTCATAGACAATGAAATAGCTGGCACACAGAGACAAATATGTTGGAGAGTTGACAAGGACACAATCATGGATCAACGCCATAAGATTAATGATGAATAGCTAAGGAATGCTGGGCTTAATACCTAGGTGATGGGAAGCAAAGCACCATGGCACACATTTACCTGTGTAACAAACCTGCACATCCTGCACATGGACCCCTGAACTTAAAATAAATATTGAAAAAAAATACTCTTACTTAACTCTGTAGTGCAAGACAGCAAAAAAAAAAAAAAAAAAAAAAAAAAAAAGAGAGAGATCAAGAAAGAAAGAAAGATACATAGATAGACAGATAGATAGATAGAGAGATAGACAGATAGATAGATTAATGATGACAGCCAAGATGAACTAAGGGATCTGTCAAAGCAAGTTGGCCAGGCGTCCTCCTTTCCCCAGTGGCATGGGAGAAAAGTGAACAGGGCAGTTGGTGGAGCCACTGTGTCTTTGCACGGGGAAAGGTCTGATTGAATAATGGGGAGGCTCCCTTCGGTGTTATAGGAAAGGGTGGTGTGTCTAATCTCTACTTCTCCACCAATCCGTGAATCGCCTCCTTAATAAAGTCTACTGAACCATATCTATTCCAATCACATTTCAAAATGTCTTAAACCAATATATACAACATAGGTTTCTATGTTAACCTTTTAATACTTCAAATGCAAGTGAATGCCTCTTCTTCATCTCTCTGAATTTGTTAATTCAAGTTCTTTAAAAAAACCATTGAATCATAAAAGAAGTTAAAGCTCCTTCCCTAAAACAGATCTGATAAACATATCAGGATTTTCTTGCAAGCATTAAGTTTAAAGCAAATTTTTCTTATTTACTAGCAGTTGTTCATTAAGAAACGTGTAGTGTAAAAACACAAATTGCTGTGACTAATTACATAACCCTGAGATATCTCTCAAATATATTGTTTTTTTTTTCTCCCCAAATGACATGCAAGCATCTTGATTTAGGTTCATATCATCTTTCATAGTTAGAATAAGGCTCTAGATTTTCCTGCTTCCAGTTTTGTGCCATCCGTGATGCGGACCAATCTTCCCAACGTATACGCATTCTCATGCCATTCCTTTCATCAATATAATACATTGACACCCCATTTCCTTTGAGAATAAAACATAAACTCTTTGCCTGTCATACGGGACCCTGTTTATATCTTTCTGACCCTAGTCATTTAAAATAAACAGAAAGGGAAGGAGGCGGAGAAGAAGGAGAGGGAAAAGATGGAGGAGAGAAAGAGGAGAGGAGGCAAACAACAAAGAGAGGAGAAAGGAAAGGGGAGAAAAGACAAGGAAAAGGAGGAGGAGAGGGAAGAGGAAGGGGATGAGAAAAAGGAGGATGAGGAGGAAGAGTTGAAGAAAAGAATAACAAGAAGGTGGAGGACTTAGTATTTGGCAAATAATATTCTAGGTGCTTTAAATCGATTACATATTCCTCACAACAAAATTTAAAGGTGGATAGAGTTAATACAAAAGGAAATACGAACGGACCCAGGACATACAGCCATCCCTTCACTCTAGGCACCACTGTACCTAGGGACCACCGTACCGCTCCTCCTGCACCTCCACCAGCCCCTCCTGGTGTGCTGTCAGTGTGCTCAGCCCCGGTACACCCAACCCACCTCACCTCCCTTTGTCCATAGAGGATGTGAAGGTTTATTGAAAAAGAACTTAGATTTTCAAGAAAAAAAAACCATTAAAAAGTGGGCAAAGATATGAACAGACACTTTTCAAAAGAATATATACATTCAGCTAAGAAGCATATTAAAAAAAGGTCAACATCACTGATCATTAGAGACATGGAAATCAAAACCACAATAAGATACCATCTCACACCAGTTGGAATGGCTATTATTAAAAAGTCAGAATTTAACAGATGCTGGTGAGGTTGTGGAGAAAAAGGAACACTTATACACTGTTGGTGAGAGTGTAAACTAGGTTAACCTTTGTGGAAGGCAGCGTGGTGATTCCTGACATCTAAAGACAGAAATCCATTTGCCTCAGCAATCCCATTACTGGGTACATACCCAAAAGAATATAAATTGTTCTATCATAAAGACACATGCAGGTATAAGTTCATTGCAGCACTATTGACAATAGAAAATACATGGAGTCAACCTAAATGCCCATCGATGGTAGACTGGATAAAGAAAATTGGTACATGTATACCATGGAATACTATGCAGCCATATAAAAAGAATGAGATTTTGTCCTTTGCAGGGGCATGGATGAAGCCAGTATCCTTAGCAAACTAGCGCAGCAGCAGAAAACCAAATACTGCATGTTCTCACTTCTAGGTGGGCACCAAATGGTGAAAGTACATGGACACAAAGAGGGAAACAATGGTCACTAGGAACTACTGGAGGGTGCAGGGTGGGAGGAGGCAGAGGATCAGAAAAAACAACTGTTGGGTACTGGGCTTAATACCTGGGTGATGAATCTGTACAACAAACCACCATGGCACAAGTTTACCTATATAACAAACCTGCATGTGTATCCCTTAACCTAAAATAAAAGTTTTAAAAATAAAATAAAAATAAAAATATAAATGAAGACATAAAAAGTAAATAAAAAACAACAAAAGGAAGAAAGGAAGGAAGGGAGGGGAGGGGGAAGGGGATGGGGGAGGGGAAAGAGAAAGGGAAGGAAAGGGAAGGGAAGGAAAGGGAAGGGAAAGGAAGGAAAGGGAGAAAGAAAAAGCCTATAATACCTATCATCTGGTATCAGCTCAAATTCCCAGCCTTGTTTACCGACAATATTCCCAAGCAATGCAACTGTACAGAAAGACTGGTTATTTCCCCTCTCTGAATTTCTGGAACGTCCAACCTTCCTCCACATCCTCTGAGACCTCTCTGCCCCCTTCCCTCACACCCTCTGCTACTTGCCTTTCTTGAACATCCTCTGCAGATCCGTCACTATTTGCTGTATTAAATGATTCTGCTTTCTCATTATATAGTTGGACTCCTTATCCTCATCACTCTCCTTCTTCCTTCCACACATCATCACACACATGTGTTGACATCCCCATGGACGCCGGAGATGGAAACCCACCAATGACTGTGCAGGCATCCAGCATTTGTGGGAATTCATCTGATGCCTTAGAAAAGTTGGTACTGACAGAAGCCACTATTAGAATTACATGTGCTTCAGAGTATTGATTTACTTAATATGTTTAAAAATAATTTTATAATTTCCATTATAAATATATAATAAAACAAACTTATAATTAAATACTTGAAAATTCATATGAAAGTCTTTTTGAGGGTTATAAAGTACTGATGTTCACTTGCCAAACAAAACAATTGTTGTGGATGTTTGAGTATTTATTTCCCTAATCAAAGTTTCACATATTTTGTTTTACTCATCAGAACACCTGTCAGATCCATGTGTGCTGTTGTCAATGGCAGAATTTCCTTCTTTTTATAGCTGAGTAATATTTCATTGTGCTTGTATAATACACCTTGAGTCTGTACAGTTTTTGTCAATTATACATCAATAAAGCTGGAAACAAAGAAAAAGAAAACTAAACAAAGAACAAATCAGTAAGATGTACTAACGTTTTGAGTTTTTTAAATCCTCAGAGTTTTTAATGAGCTTTAATAGCAACAAAAGTATTGCACAAGAAGCTCAAATTAGAATCAGTAGCTGAAATTATGTCACCACAGAATGTATTTAAAATGTGTGTGTATATCAATGTATTTATCTTTATATGTATTTGAGAGCTATATAACAGAAACTTTTAACTTAGAACACACACCTCTCATTCCAGCTGATATACTGTATATGTGTATATATAGGTGTGTGTGTTTATCTATGCATATATATATACACATATATATATGTATGCATGCATACATTTATACCTAAAAGATGTTAGTAGAAGACAGGTCTTCCATGATATATTTAATCTTTCCAATGAAGACCCTGGGGATAAACTTTATAAAATTATTCAGTAGAAGGTAGGTCCTTCATGATACATTTAAACTTTCCAATGAAGACCCCAGGGATAAACTTTTGAGAGAATTTTATCTTAATTACTATAACACATGTCTCACAATATATATTACTTTTTCAAGAATTCTGATTGCAGGACTCATCAAGAGTTCTGAAAATAGCTGGATTGTCAAATGTGTCTACAATAAAACATATTTATACATATCATATAATATTACTTTGCATTGACTTTCTACCAGAATACCCTGGTATGAGCTGTTCCAATTGTTTAAAAATCTGCCTCTCCACTAAAGGAATCTTCTTGAGAGGCCTTTCATTTTATAACTTCCTGAATAGAAAATGCTAGTTTCTTCTAAAAGTTTTAGATTTTCTAACGATAGATATTTCGTGTTCCTTTTGACATGATATAGCATGATAACATGTGATGTGCATTATTAGGGAGATGCTAAGATTCCGCAAGTAATTATTTTGCATGAGGAGTTTTACATAAATACTTGCAATAAACTGACCATGGCAGCACTTGGTTATACAACAGTCAAAGCCGAGATAAGACTAGGAAAGAGTATGAATCAAGAGAGGATTAAATGTTTCAAAAAAAGAGAAGTTTGTATTGACTAAGAGAGAATTGGCGTCGGAAACTGCTTTTCTGTCCTATCTTATTTCTTAAAGTTTGCAGACCAGGTCAAACACACAAATTGAAGTATGCAAATTCTTCACATCCAAAATGCTTCACTGATGCTTCTGGCAAGAGTCATTGCATGGAAACTTTATGTAACTGTTTCTCTTTTCTCTTATGTTCAATACGTAATACACTTTCATCAACGTGCACTTAATTGAGAAACCCACTTACTTGGAATGTCTCCCAAGGAATCAAATTAAGCCTAATTATACTTAATGGCAATGGCTGCTGCTTAATTTGGATGGTAATTCTGCTTAATTGAGATGCCTTCAGGTGTCTAAGTGGTGCTTTGCTAAGAGTATTGGTTGTGCGGGTATGTCAACCTGGAATACCTTGTTTCTTCTCTGAACATTTCTCCGAGATAAATGACAAAGGGCAAATAATTTTCTGAAGCAATATAACACAAAATAACTGAAATTTAATGTGTTAATTATTAAGTCCTCACAATCAAGAAAATATATACAATGTCTGCATAAGTGTACACAAAGATGAGAGAGAAAAAATAAACTTCTAAAAGGAGAGAAGAGAATTGTATAAACCCAAGCTGCCTAAATTCATTACTGGTCATTTTATGTTTTGGACAAGTTTAAAAGTCCACTTTAAGAAATCAAAGAACATACATCATGAGTTTTAATGGATGTTAGCCATAAAACTAAAGTAAAAGGAAGATACTGTGATTGGAATCACATCATATGCAAAAGATATACTAGTGTTAATTCCAACCTCTTTCCTTGGTGTCTGGCTTGCCTGGATGTGATGGATATCACTGGTCACCATACACTAACCGTCGGCTCCTCTTCCTGGCTTCTAGATATTTCTTTCCTTGGCTCCGTGGCAATTGGACCACAGGCATTTGACGCAATGGGATATGAAGGAACTCAGCAGACAAATTCTAGGAAATATGTCTTCCATCTCTAGCCAAACATGCCTCATTTCATTAAACATGACCAAATCGGGAACTAAAGCCTCAGGTGGTTGCAGACGTCTTGAGAACTGAGGGGAAATATTGTCTCCGCTCTAGAGAGGGGGCAGGAAAAATGTCAAACACCTGAGCTGCAATGCTATCACGGAGCTACTGAATACAACCTGGAAGCTCCCTGACTCTGCCCCTTTGTTATCTAAAATAAGGTATCCCCCAAACTTTCGGTTTTTAGTTGGCTCTTCTGTTAGTTACAGCCAAAAATACCCTATGGAGGTAGAAAATAACCTGTTCTTTCATTTATTTATGGTGGAAAGCAAGCAAGCTAATAAAGCGTTCTCACAGTGCAATGGGACGACAAGGAGTTTCACTTTCCGGGATCTTGACTTCCTCTCTGTCAAGTAGTAAAAGGTTTAAACAATAGGAACTCTAAGCTTCTTTTTAGATAGAATTTCAATTATTCTAGTATGTGTAGGAAAATAATAGAAACTAAAATGTGCTATAGGCACATCTTTCATATAGAATAAAAATATTTATGATTATTGATGTATAATCTGGATTTAAATGAATTTGGAAAGTGGAAACTGTGGGTATTCCACTCCAGGGCAAAACACTTCAGTCTTTTAAAACTCTGTAATGGCACTTACAGGTGGAAGATCATTCTCACGACAGCTGAGGCAAAATTTACCTCCAACTGACTATGAGAGAAAACCAACGCCATCAACAAGGCTTTCTTGGACTATATTCTGCTTTCTGCATGCTGTCATCCTAATTTCTGGTTTCCTCGGCTAACAACACACCTGTGAATTCTAAATGTGCCTCTGCCCATTCCATGGACTTGGATGGACAGTAGGCACCTTGCTATCTCTGTGCCTAATAGCATACACATCTCCTACATAAAGAAATTGGTTCCTGAAGTCTGTTCCCTGGTTAAAGGTACGGAGAACATATATTGTTCTGAACTGGAAAGATTTTGAGAATGCAGTAGAGGCATTGTTAGTAACTGTTCAAGGACAGCAGAGATTTACCAAGACTCCTCTGCGACAGAAGCAAGAATGCTCACCTGCCTCGAGTTTGACTCTCACCCACGGCGTCATCTCTCTCTCTCCTGTTTCCCACACCCACGGCACCTACTGGAGGCAGCTGCAGGGGGAAGCCTGCAGGGGTGTGAGGTCCAAGGGAATCCGGTGTTCTGCGCTCCCCGAGCTCGGGGGTCCTGTGTTCCTCCCTCCCCATGCTTGAGGGTCTTGTGTTCCTCCGTCCCTGTGCTGGAAGGTCTCCAGTCTTGCTAAGTCTCCGTCTGGGGCAATTTCCCCTGCACCACTCCATGGTGTCTGCTCTGTTTCAGACCTTATCATCTTTCATCTGAAGTACTGTATTAGATTCCAAACTCTGCGTCTCACGTCTCCTTCTGGAAACCTTTTAGGGTGTACTTCCGTCCTCTCCACCGAAAGGGCTACAGGAAGAAGTGAAGTTACTGCGTGTTCAAGTTCGTCTCCTCGTGGATCCCCCTAAAGCGCAGCCTTCCTAAACGGTAGCCCATTCATTTGACTTCAAAAGACGCGAAAGAAGGGGATGGAAAGAAATTCCACCTGTGAGTGGTATACTGAGTCGGTGTCCCTGCAGGCATTTGGCTCCATCCTGCTAGGGATGGCTGCAGAGCTGTGAGAATTCACCTCAGAGTTTTCTGCCCGACCCATTACAGGGGCGCATTCGAGCACTCCTTCTCCACCCAGGAAGGGCGGTGGGAGCCCCCTCTCAGTCCAAGTGGGGCTGTGTCAAAAGGAGGAGAAGACTCCTGCAGGCTTTGCAAACTCTGAGGGCAGAGCCTGGGGCAGAAAGCAGGAGCTTCAGGGAGCAGTTGAGGGAGGGCTGAGGCTCTGCCACTGTGAAGCGGGCTAAGAGCAGGGAGGTGGGCAGGAGAGGGGCTTGGAGCAACCTCATCACAGGCAGCAGACGCAGGGAGCTTCCTGGAGAGCCCCTGATTGCTGTGTTTCTCCTGCCCAGCGTTTCTAATTTTATGTAATCTCCACTTTCACACACTTTTAAAATTTGTGATAGATTCATGCAATTCTCATAAAACTACCTGGAACATACACAGGTTAACTAAACCATTCCCTTGATTTGATCTAATTAATTCCTTTTAGCTATGTTTTCTTTAAAAGAAATTCAAGAAGAGTTCCTTCTGCCTCTCAAATTGCAGAAGTAACATAATTCTGTATTTTGAAAATGTCGCAATGGGATACTTCTGGTCTCGATCACATCTCAATCCCTTTAATATAAAATATTTGCTTTTATTTGAGCCCCTATGGAAATGCATGTAATCTATTTACTCTTAACTCAAGTCAACACCTAATATAGCCCCCAAACAAACTCAATTGTTCAGCTATTTCCTCTGTAAAGTTCTACTATCTAACCTTCAGAACTTTTCTAAATTCTCAATATCATATGATTTTCTGGAGACCAAACAGAATATTCTAATTATTTAAAAGTGTGTAAATGCAGAAATTAGTAAACATAATTATCAATAAACTAGTTATATACTATATAATTTTAATTCAAATTGAAATAAAACTCTTTTTTGTTAGACAAATTAATGAGATGGCTTAGTAAATAGTTAACAAATTGTTAATAAGTGTTTTTTTCTATTTATCTTATGCTTGTTTCTGTTACACTACCAGTATTAGCAGCTTATAATAGATAATGATATTACATTTACTTACGCAACATGTGGATTTATCTGTTTTTCACAACTATTCTCTAAGGTAAATGCTATTACTATATCTCTTTGCCCAAATTCATGCAACTACTAAGTGGCAGAGCTGGTTCTTAAAGTGATGATTGCAAGTACTGAAAAATAATAGTTTCTTGGTAAAAAACTGAGTAACAAACCATTGAGTAGCATATAGAAAAAACAAGGTTTGTACCACTGTAGTTGATGTCCCAGGGTACAACACGGCTCTAGCATACTGAGAAATACCAGAATCAAACTTGGAGGCTTTTGTCACAGCAAAGAGAGCCCAGAAATTCCTCAGTGTTTCAGAAAGCCTGCAACGCCCTGGAGTTTTACCCAGCTCTGCTCATTAAAGCTTGAATTTTTACATAAATAATAACTGAGATTTTAGAACTAAAATAAGCCAACCAAAACCAAAGGCATCTGTGATGAACACTTTACGGAATCTAAAATCAGAACATTTCTCTTTTAGAACTGGCAACCCAACAGCTTTGAGAGGAAACTATATAAATAAGATGGATATTTTGACAAAATGTAAAAATGAAGAGATGATCACTTAGACACAGAACTGTTAGTAATAACTCAATAATTGGTAAATAGTGGGGTTCAGTAAATTTAATATTACTATAAATATAATTATTTTAATATTACATAATTTAGTGAAATCCATACCTATAATAGTTTCCTCACAGTTTTTTTTAAGTGAAATCAATATGAAGATGTCTACCTTATTTTTTCTTCCTACTGGCAAGCATCTATATTGAACTTAAAAGGAGTTAAAAAAATTCATTTGATAGCCAATGAAACATGATTATGAGTATGATTTCTATCCTAAGATTTAAAATGTAGTAACATAATTGCAAACTATGTATGCAAACTTACAGAGAAATAACAGTATTACCCTCTATTACTACCCTGGAGGAAATATATATTTTACACAAAGTATTTAAGAAAGAGGAAAACACGCTCAGATGTTTAATTCTTGAAAAACGTATATAGCTTATGAGAAGAAACACATGAACTGTAGAAAACAATTCAAAAGACAGAATTGTTTTTTATCTTTTCTTGATATGGAGTCTTGCTCTGTCGCCCAGGCTGGAGTGCAGTGGCACGATCTTGGCCCACTTCAAGCTCTGCCTCCTGGGTTCAAGCGATTCCTGGGCCTCAGCCTCTCGAATAGCTGGGATGACAGGTGCCTGCCACCAAGCCCAGCTAATTTTTGTTCGTATTTTTTAGTAGAGATGGGGTTTCACCATGTTGGCCAGACTGGTTTTAGAACTCCTGACCTCAAGTGATCCACCCACTTTGGCCTCCCAAAGTGCTGGCATTACAGGCTTGAGCGACTGAGCCCGGCCAAAAGACAGTATTTTTGTGTCTGAGTATAGTAGGAGCATTTCTAACACTTAGTCATACTATGCATAAATACTGTGGTATTTAAGAAAGCTTGTAATATAGTGGATGAGACCTGAGTTGAAAAAGACATAAGAGAAAGCACTATGATACATAAAGGAGGAATGTAGACTTTCTCTCCAGAAGCACTAAATGGCACCACAGTGAGAATACTCACTTTGCATCTGAATCTCAGACTGCTCTGCAATGAATGTGGCATCTAGACACAGGATGCAGCTGGAACTTTTAAATTCAAACAGTAAAGTGTAAGCACGGATAGCATTTGCTGGGCTGTTTGCTTCAACAATAGATCCTATAAGAGTGCTGTGTGCATTAACCACAGGGGTTGGAGGCGGAGCCTTACCTTGTCCGGGTCGGTGGTGGTGATGACCCACACACAGTGTGCATTATCTTCATACTGAACCGGATAATTAGGGGAGGTAATGACGCCGCTGGGCCCACGCAGATTGGATCCACATGTTCTCGCTGGAAACACATAGAAACGACGTTATTTTCTACAACATTGTGTCAGTTTGGTAAAGACATAACATTTATGGGAAATTTCAAGTTAGCTATTATCTAATCACAGTAAAAAAAAAAAAAAAAATGGTGCATGGACTCCAACTGGGGCATGGACTCCAGTCAGCAAGTGGATTGCTCAGCCGGCAGGACTTTTGCTTGGTATCTGCAGTGTTACGCTGGGACACTTCATTTTTCCCAAAGGCCTATCCACTCACCAAAGGATCTAACAGATGACAGCCTCATGTGCAATGTCAATACCAAAGTAGCCCATTTCAAATCCCAGTGTGACTCAGAGTGTTCACGTAGGTGTCGTTGTTCAGAGAGTCTCCATACACACCTAATTGTGTGCGACTGCAGTAAGATAGAGGGAAAGGCACCGCCGAGTGCAATTCAACCAGAGTTACCATCTCAGCTACGTCTTACACTGTCTGACCTCCAATAAATTGTGTCTTTTCAACTTTAAAAAAGGGTTTTGGAGCAGATGATCTCCAAAGTCACTTTCGAGCTTTAGATTCTATTCTACAATAAACTATACCAATTTCTTTACAGCACAACGCAAATAGGAACTTAAAATTTATTGCAAGTTTAAAGAAAGAAAATAGGAATGGTGACTTTAAAAATAAAAAAAATCTTAAAGTTGAAATGAAAGACTGAGTGAAGCATAGAAATTGCATAATTCTATATATACAACTTAGTCTGGAATACAAAAATAATTTAATTGGCCTCCAGTTTATGAAAGGAGTTTTTTTTTTTTTAAATCAATACACATATTTTAGAAATATAATGTCAGCAGAGACTCTGGTTTTAACATTCATAATTTAAACTGGGTTTCAGAAAGGAGCAGAAGAAACTAATTTCACAAGAAGAAATTAATGTAAGAGAACTTCTGCTTCATTTTCCTAAGACATCCTATGACACAAACTGACAAAAATTTTTCATAGGAAGGATTAATCCTCGTCATAGCCCATCCTCTATTTTTTCATTCCTTGAGTTTAACCCTTTCTTCAAGTCAGTTATTATTCTAGCAGACTCAGCTACAAAACTCAGCACAACAGGACTTGTGACTTAACAAGGGCTACTTTGTGGGGGGACAAGAATTAACCACTGAACGCAGGTTTTCCAAAGGGACTCAAGAACCAGACATTTCTCTCTTCCATGCATGTCAAAATAATAATAATAATAATAATAATAATAATAATACAAATCATGGCTATTCCTCATAATGCTTCTTTAATCTGTAATCTACTGTGACTGTTCATCTGAGATCTCTCCTAAATGGTTATGCATTCCCTGACCTTAGGAACTGTCCTCTTTCTGCATTTACCTGTCCCTCCTCAGCACTGTGTACCACGCTGCAGTCCTAGACATGTGAAAATGGGACAACATAATTTGAGACAACTGTTCAGTTGCTTCCTACTTACTATGGAAATAATTAGCTAAAATTGACCTATTCTACATTGATAAGTGTGTTAAAATTAACTTTTAAAATGCTGGCATTTACTGTCCAAATGAAAAACAAACATGGGTAAAACATAACTGGGTTTCCGAAACTCAGTAGGTGTGTCATTGGTCTAAAGGTCACTGGACAAAGGACTGGATGAAAACATGGACCCCTCTTATACACTAATATCTCACTCTCTAATGAGTCTGTTTTAATGAGCTGTTCTCAGAGAGGATCATAAACTTTAGATGTGAAATCTTAAAGCCCTCTAATATTAGCATTATCCAACTAGAAAACCTTTGAAAAAAGTGATAATAAACTCTGAGTTGTAATACCTTTATGTTGCATTTTCCTACTTTTTAACACTTCATAATTAACAGCTGTTATAAACATCATGTAGCGTTCATAAATATTTGCTGATTTAATTGTGAAGCAATGTAACCATATTGGCATTGTCGGCCTGCATTTCAAGCTTTTAAAAAGTACATCTGAAAAACATCTGCAGGGGAAAGTCATTTGTTACAATCCTACTGACAAGGTGGGCTCAGCCTGTCATTGGCCCAGATGTTCCCAGCCGGAAAGATCCCTAAAGCTGGCCCCGCCCATGGCTTTGTGTCCTAGGTGCCTGCTGTGAAGCTGGCCCCTCACTTGGCTTATGAAAATTGGCTACCAGCATCTCATGAAATGCATCTCATGCATCATATTTTATTTGTGAAGTAACTTTTAATAAAATATGCATAGGAAGCCAGCCCGTCACCACATTTTCAGGCCTATGAAGTACCAAGTTTCACACAAAGCAAGTCATGGACCCAGTTCCTTCAGAGACATTCTTTACCAAAAGCTTTCAAATTAACCCATGTTTCTTTTTTTAATTTAGAAATCTCTGTCCGTCTTTGCAACATATTTTAATAAAAAATTGTTTATTTTTTGTCCATTTTTTTATTAAGCCATCAAAATGGTCATCTAAAATGAATATTGGGAATATTCAGACCAGAGATTTGTGTCTGATTTGTTCATTTGTTTAACTTTGCCAATTAGAACAATTTTTAGCATTTGATTGTTTCCTCAATAAATATTAGCATAGCTTCTGAATAGGTGTAACAGCCTTAAGTCACATAACCTAACTGTAATTATGTAATTCTAACCCTCCTTCTTAGGACATTGTTGAAAGCTTGTGCTACTTTCTCAATGTTTGCCTTTCTAAATCTTCTCCAACCTAATCATCTGCTTCTTTACCATCTGATGATGCGCCCCCTATTTGGCTCGTTATGATTTATTTAGTTATTGCCTCCTTGCATCTAGGGTTTTCTACTAGTCAGAATCACCCTCAGTTTTTCAAATGGCAACTACCGTAAGTTCAGCCGTGCATGTGTAGAGACCTTATTAAACAACCACCCTGTGGCTTGAGCTGTTGTGATTTCTACCAGCCGATGTCCACACGGTGGTGAACAGAGTGTCTGTTGTCCCCTAGCTGTCCTGCAGCTCACCTTATTACCTGGGCCAGGAAAGCTTACATTAATTTCTCTGAATTTCATAGTGGAGAGAGAAGAGCCAACATACAGTCCTCCATCTAGCACACCCACTGTCTTCCCTCCGTCAGCTTCCAGCACCAGAAGGGTATAATTTCTCATGTCTACCATATGTTACGCTTTAAAAAATTAGGTATTTGGAAAATAGAAAAAGAAGAGTTAGAGAAGAAAATGGGACAGGCTGAGAAAGAAGAGATGACCCAGGGCTGAGCTTTGTACTGAGTAGATCCAATGAGTGAGTGTCCTTGCTCAGGGAGCTTTGGTGATGATCTGTTAGGGATGCCTGCTGTCCTCCCTTAGAAATCCTCTAGTTAGACGGGAAGGGCACAGCAGCCTGCGAGGCAGGAAGAATAATGGGTGTCGAGAAAATCTCGGCAGTGCACGCAGGCCCTTGCAAAGGAAGCGGATGGCTGCCATTATCTTATCTAAAAACCATATCCGTGTTGCTTTGTCGCCTATTGGGGGGCTGTATTGAATACAAATTTATCTGATGTTCTGGGAGGTCACGAAACGATGCCATAAGTTCTGACTCAGAAACATAGACGTATGAAAGTTTATCACCTGCCTCTCTCTTCACTCATGGACTCTGCTGGTTTTTCACTTCATGCAAAGAACCGATTGGGCAGCTCCTCACACAGGAGACAGCCGAGGGAAACTGTTCTGACTGGGACTGGACAATTTCATAGCATCCCTGGAGGCAGGGAAACTTCTTTCCTTCCCTTAGCTTCTGTGCTAAACAGGCATTCAATTAGTCAACGAAGTATGTGATTAACCAGCATAATTAAGTAACTACAGTATACCAGTGCCAAGCCAGTTTTTAAAACAAGATCTCTCTCCGTAAGTTGCCATCGTGGATATCTGTAGACGCACGTTTACACAAACTATAGTAGAATGCCTCTTTCTACTCTTGCAAAGGCCTTGCCTCTTGGAAATATAACATCTAATAGAGAGTAAAATTCACCGACATGCTTGATAAAGGTACTTGGATAATAACTACGACCTAATGTACACCTGATGTTACTTGCTTGGCAGTTTTCCAGACCTGTAAACTCAAATTTCACTTACATCTTTTCTGTCTCCCCAGTAAAACTAGAATTCACAGAATGATAAATTGAAAATATAAAACGTCAGGAGGGAAAGTGGAAAGGGAGAAGAAAAATGACCAATTTTGGATGCCAATGCATGCCATTTTGACATTTATCCACTTAATCAATGAATATTTGTTAAGTATAAAATAGGTTTGTTTCATGCAATTTATCTTACTTAATAAAAGTAATAACTTATCTGTTTATTTAAATGCAATTCCAGGAAATCTTATGGTTCTATAGTAACTACTCAATTAATCAAATTACTTGAAAGAAGAAACATTCTAATTGATTAAATTTAAATTAGTGGGATTTCAGGAGTCGCATTAGAAGCTTTTTTTAAAGCAAATTTATAATTACATTGGATAGCCTATTTCTCATATGTTTTTAGGAGAAATCATTTTTATCAAGCACAAATTTTACGTCCAGATTGTGAACCATAATGAAGATAATATATCACAGAGGCTAAGAACTTCCTTTCCTTCACCACACCTGGTTCCAGGCCTGGCTTAGGTAGTCAGTAGCTGTCTCATCTTAACTTATTTAATTTTAAGCCACTCAGCTTATTTAATTAGAATAATCATAACTCCACTTATGATTGCTCTAAGGATTGAATAAAAGAAGACAATAAAGCATTTACTACATGGCCTGACATATCACAGCAAGGCCAGTGTGGTGGCTCACGCCTTTAATTTCAGCATTTTGGAAGGCTGAGGCGGGTGGATTACCTGAGGTCAGGAGTTTGAGACCAGCATGGCCAACATGGTGAAACCCTGTCTCTACGAAACATACAAAAATTAGCTGGGTGTGGTGGCAGGTGACTGTAATCCCAGCTACTCAGGAGGCTGAGGCAGAAGAATCCCTTGAGCTAGGGAGGTGGAAGTTGCAGCGAGCCAAGATAGCACCACTGTACTACAGCCTGTGTGACAGAGGGAGACTCTGTCTCAAAAAGAAAAGAAAATAAAAAGAAAGAAAAAAAGTATACATGCAGTGCTCATCATGAGTTGAACACTGAGGGTATGGCGGAGAGAGAACAAAACTAAGTTTCTTGCCTTCAGCAGGAAACTAACAAACACATGGACATATAATGTCAGAAGGAGAAAACTGCTTTGAAGAAAGGCAGATAAAAGATTTGTAAAGTGAGGGAAAAGGCCTGCTCTGTAAGAAGTGGTTTTGGAAGGACGTGGGTTCAGATGGCATTTGACGAACGGCATAAATGGACAGTCACAGGGATACCTGGGGGGAGGCGGATACTCCAGAGAGGGGAAACCAAATGCAAGAATCCTAGGAGAGAAACACCCCTGGCAAGCTCTAGGAATGTAAATAGCACCAACTTAAGGTTAGCTTTCAGGTTCTTTGATGTCAATAGAGTATGAGAGTAGTATAAGATACAAAACTATATTATTGCCAATAACTTAGTAAAAATAATAAGGAGAAAAATATATTTTCTCCCAGGTGACCTTCAGGTAAAAAGTATAAAGCTTCAGGAGTCAGGAAACAGCAGCAGAAATTTCTCCAAATTCACAGGAATTAAAAATTAACCGTGTGTTCTTCTGTCTAAATCTCTGAGACAGTGGTTACCTGATCAAATACACAAAATATTATCCTGACACTGGATCTATAACCTGGTATAAAGAAGAGTCATCTTTCGGGGTAAATGATCTTCTTATTACTCTTTAAAAGGTCATTTCTACAAGGGCAGAAAACACCAATGGAAAAGAAAAAGCTGTAAAAGTTTTTGGTAAATGATGAGTTCACAAATTAAGAATAATTTTTAGCTAACCTCATCTGAAATTCCAACGCAATAATAACTTTATTCCCTGACTCTGCCTGGCTCCAATTAGCTCACAGGTAACCACAGTTACAACTGGCAATAATACTTTATTTCTCTTAGAGGGCTTTTCATCTCAGGGAGCAACTCAAAATATTAACTCTACAGATCAAAGTGCATTAGCATTAAAGAAGTTCTCTACATAAATCGCCCCTAAAGACTGATGGAATGAAGTACCAGCCTGAACATTTTACTTAAAAAAATAGAACGATATACTCTTCTCTCCACTTTGTTTGCTTATTTTAAAAATCTACTGCCAGTTAAAGATACTCATACAGTTTTAAACAGCTCGTAATGTCTTACCCTGCAAAAAATCATAATGGTTGTTTTCATATTCCTAAATGAAGTAAGCGTAATTCCAAACAAAATCACTTGTATAATTACTGAGCTATGACAACCATTCATCTGTTTGGTAACAGGAAGAAAAGGTAATGTTGCCCCCCGTTCTCAGAGCTAATTAGCTAATGTAAGCATTGGCTAACCACACCAGCCTCCAGATGGAAGGATCACTTCTGACTCACTGCAATTTATCGAATGCTTCCATCAGATATTCCTGCTCCAGAGAAGGCATGATCATTACTTCAGAGTTACAGTCCCTTCATGAAAATAGGAACCTTGAGAATCAGTCCTTCCTGGATGCACCTCGCTGGAATACCTTTATGCTCAGAATGGACCTGATGTTCAGACCAGGGGCATTTTATTGCATTTCATAGACGGTTGAGTTGAGAATATGTGGCAGAAACGATCATTATCAGGCCACCTTTAGAGGCTAAGAATGAATCAGGAAAATTCAAAACTATGATGCTGTCTTTTTTTTTTCCTTTTTAGTTTTTGAGATGAAGTTTTGCTCTTGTCACCCAGGCTGGAGTATAGTGGCACGATCTCTGCTTACTGCAACCGCCACCTTCGAGATTCAAGTGATTCTCCTGCCTCAGCCTCCCGAGTAGCTGGGATTATAGGCATGCACCAGCATGTCTAGCTAACTCTGCAGAGACAGAGTTTCACTATGTTGGCCAGGTTGGTCTTGAACTCCTGACCTCAGGTGATCTGCCTGCCTTGGCCTCCCAAAGGGCTGGGATTACAGGCGTGAGCCACCGCGCTGGCCAATGCTGTCTTTTCTGATACTATTTTTTGTGGTAATGGAAGAGTGACAAATGAACTTGGAAAATGGTCCCTGCTGTACCGAACGTGTCAACAGCAAAGAACGATTCCCTGTAGTCTGTTTTAGGTAGGATTTATCCATTTTCCTGGACACTGTAGATATATAACGTTATCTTTTTATAAAAAGTTATAAAAGCTCCACTTTTATAAATGTTTTTCACCTCTTCTCTAATGGATGAATCCATTATCGGAAGCAAATTGAGACGCTACTTAAAAAAGGGAATGGTGACATACTCAGGGTTCCTAAAAGTTGCCAACCTGAGGAACTTACGTATTTTAATTGAAGAAAGAGTGTTCTACAGAGGGATGCCAGCCAGGAAGTGGGGCACAACTCACTGGGCTCATTTCTCCTCTTCACAACTACAAGGGTGTTGATGGTTTTTCATAGTGAGGAAGAAAATCATAACTGTAAATGTCTAAACTTGCGCTGTCATATGTGGCAACTGCTAGCCACACGTGGCTACTGAGCACCTGAAATGCAGCTGGTCTGAGATGAGCTATGCTCTAAGTAGAAAATGCACACTGGATTTCCAAAACAAAGTATGAAAAAAAGAAAATATATAAAATATCTCATTATCATATTTGTATTAACTATATGTTAGCATGATACTATTTGGGAGTATTTGGGTTAAATAAAATGTTATTACAATTAAATTCACCTGTTTCTCTTTCCCTTTTTAGTCTAGCTACTAAATATTTCAAAATCACATACATAGTTTGGGAAATAAACACATACCTTTCCCAGTTACTCAATCCAGCACTAACTTAGGTGCTCCTGTGAAGGGATTTTGGAGGCATAATTAAACTACCTTATTAACTGACTAAGTTAAGGAGATTATTTTGTCTGGCCTTTACATAATCAGTTGGGAAGTCTTCAAAGAGGGCTTAGAATTTCCCTTACAGAGCAACTCCTGCCTGTGGACAGCAGCTTTGACCTCTTCCTGGGGAGCCTGGCCTCATCCCTATCTTTCCTTCCTAACAGCCTGTCTTTCAGAATTCAGATATAGTGCCAGCCCTACCAATCATGTGAGCCAGTTCCCTGATCTAAGCCCACACATTTCTCTCCATCCTAGTGGATTTGCTTCTCTGCTTGAATTTTTACTCACAGAGTCAACTGCTTGGACATGAGGTGTTGCTGAAGCAAATGTGGGCACAGCTTTGGAACCGGGTTGTGGGTCAGAGCTGCATGGTTTTGGGGAGTGTCATAGAGAAGGCCTCAGGTGCCTCGAATAGACTGCTAGTAGAAATCTATCTTGTAAGGATACTCTTGATGGGACTTGGAAAGAGCTAGAGATATTCCTGGAAACCGAAAGAGGTGGCAGAAGCTTAGCAGAAGTGGTTCTGTGATTAGGTAGGAAGCAGGGTGTTCAGCGACAAACACAGATGGACAGCTAAGGAGAGTTGCAGGCCATGTGTCCAAGAGGCCACTTGATTTCTTCTTGCTGCTGATACTAAAACATGATAGGAAAGACATAAACTGAGGGGAGGACTATCAAACAAACAGGAATCAGGGCTGGGTGATTTTGAAACTTCTCAGCCTCTGCAGATGGCAAAAGAGGCTGCCATTTGGAAGCTACAGCTGCACAAGCATTCTAGACAGGAAAGGCAGAGCGTGTGGCTGCGCAGCCATGCCCTGAAACCTCAGAGTGACTGTAAGGTCAGAACACAAGTATTAGGTCCCAGAAAGGATACTTTTCAAGAAATTGAGGGTTTCTTATCCATCTTATCAACTGATGCAACTAGATAGATAAGGAGCATTGTCCCTCTGAAGTGTCAGCAGGAGTCCAAGATGGAGAAACGATTATCTCAAAAATATGTGAGAGCATGGCCTTTGTCTAACTGAGTCAACACTAGTAAAACCCATCCACTATAAAAACACCTCCTTAGGAATTATTTCCAGCAGTATAAGTCATTATTTCAGACAAAAAATTAAGTTTATTACTTCAAATACATTTTTACTTCTTACTAAATTTATTAGAAGTAATAAACTTAATAAGAACTAATAAGAACTGAAGTACTATTCAATGTTGATCAAAGTATATCTAACTTAAGCAGAACGAGGGAATCATCAGTAAGAACAGAAGATTGACAAAGCCAGGCACTCTTTGCCTGTGGAGTTGAAAGGAAGAGGCAGAGTCTTGGCGATTACTAGTAACGTTCCAGAAAACTAAACCAAACACACCAAACAAGAGAGACCCTGCGAAAAAAGTGTTCTCTTCCAAAATATGATCAAGTGGGACACTTGAATTGACGAGAACAGGAAACCACAAAGAATCCTCTTCTAATTATCTCTAAGCGTGAGTAGCTGGGGGGTTGAGAAGGATGGGAGAAATGTCTCCACCTTCAGCCTGGATGGAGCAGCTGTTTCCTAAGTGATAAGCACCTCTGAGTGTGTGATATCTTTGGGATAGGATACTGAGAAAGGGCTTTGAGTTTAAGATGAGAGTCAGGGCCAAGAAAGGCAATGTCATAGGTAAACATATAAAATCAAATAATATAAAGGCAAATATTTAAGTTACTCTAAAATACTGATTTAAAAGTAACATTTAAAAGAATGCACATTTACTATTTGTCTAAAGTGAACTTTAAAAATAATGAAGCCTATTTCCCGGATATAAGAGCAAGAAAACTATTGAAGGATTTTTTTTTCCCCAAAGGAAAAATAATCCATGTGACTCGTTCCTCCTGTATAATTGGGAGGCTTGTGCATCACCAGCCCTAGTGGGAACATGAATTTTAGTACAGCTCTTTGAAGTGCTTAAGGGTCTTATGTTAGAATTGAAAAATGCACAATCAAAGTTGTCTAGTGACAAAAAGAAGGGGACAGCCATGTGCATTTCCTGGACCAGAGATTGCTGACTCTCCTGAAGGGTCTCCATTTAAGAGGTGACAACTCGCTATCAGCTGGGCCATACACCCTCCCTCCCCTTCCGGTGGGGCGGGTCCTGCAAAGCTGTATCCCCTGCATGTGACTGACCCCTAGTGGTTATAGGGACCAGGTACAATACAGTAAATGGGGCCAAAGAGTATTCTTAGCTTAGAGGACGATAGTGACGTGTTTGGTAACTAGTTATTTTCACAGGCTGCAATGACACTATGCTTGTTGTACCTTTTTTAATAACTAAAATGCTTAAAAGTTTAAAATGTATAAGTCCATTCACGTGAAAAGACTATATGGAAAGATAAGGTATTCTTACATATGAAGCTTTCCTTTTTAGTCAAACTAGGGCTTTTTCTCCCAAAACTACCAGTTTACATAAATCATTTTATGGCCAAAATTCAAAAACAAAACCTCCAAACCCAGCATTTCTTTAATTTTATTATTATTTTCATTTTAAAACAACCAAAATAATTTTCTGCTTTTCAATATGATTTCTGTAATTCTGGTAAGAATTTGTGTATACTTCATAGCAGTAAAAAATAAGTAATTTAACCTTTGCTGACTTCGTATGTTTTATTAGAAAATGATGATGACAATAATGATGAATATTTTACTCTGCTAACTATGTTAGAGATTAAAGATCATTTATTAATAAAATGATGATTTGCAATCAGGCTAACAATTCCTTTTATTACTTACATAATTAATACCTAAAAAATTCAACCTCACTGCAATAGGAAAGTGAACATTTTTAGGTTTGCGGGGTGCACAGAAACCTTTCCGGCAGGTCCAGCTGTGGGACATATATTCACACACATGCACACTGTTTGTGTGTATTGATAGATACCAAGTTATACTCAGTATGTGTGGATTTGCTCACATCTATCCTCAAATGTAAAACACAAAAATATTCTTGGAAATGTTAGCCTCTCAGCAAATTCCAAGGAAAGGTTTCTGTTATTACCCACATCACTATGAAAACATACATTACTACCGAATTCTACTCTTCCCATACACAATGCTTCATGCTTAAATTGTATATTCATAAAAATGCCAACCTTAAAGAAAGAGATAATCCAGGCTTTACCCACCGCAGGTGCCTTACCTCGGCAGATGGGCCTGTGGTCACTCCAAGCAGCGAGCGTCTCTGTAACTCTCTGACAGGTGATGCTTTTAGATCCCTGGAGCACGTAATTGTCCTCACATGAAAACTGTACATTTGCACCAACCCTAAGCCGTTAAAAAAGAAAAAAAAAAACCCAAATTATTTACAGAAGACTTCTTTAGGAAAAAAAAAAAAATCAGCAAAATGGCTGCTACGATCTTGTTCAGTTAAAACAGCCTAAGACATTAAGCAACTCATTAGGTAGTATGTATAGAGGCAACCCTGTAATTTAGCAAAGGTTATAAAATCAAAAGACTTGGGTTCAGATTCCTGTTGTGCCAGCTTCAGAACTAAACAAACACATGAACCTTAACTTGTCATGACTAAGACAGAATAAAATAGCAAAAATGACTTCACTGAATAGTGTGGCTTTAATAAGAAAATAAATGTGAAGAAATTTTGTACCCTGAAAACAAGAGGAAGTTGGATGTCATTCATCGTGAATAAATATTTTACAAAAACAAGAAGTAAAAAAGTCTAGGTTAAGAAAATATGTCAGTAAAGACTGTATTTTGCTATCACACATGTTAATTATATTTAAAAGAAAGCTAGTGATATTTCAGAAATTCTTATAGGAACAGAATATTTTACTTTTCTTTTGTTTGTTTGTTTGTTTTGTTTTGAGACAGAGTCTCACACTGTCACCCAGGCTGGAGTGCAGTGGCACGACCTTGGCTCACTGCAACCTCCGCCTCCGGGGTTCAAGCTATTCTCCTGCCTCAGCCTCCTGAGTAGCTGGGACTACAGATGTGCACAACTAGGCCCGGCTAATTTTTGTATTTTTAGTAGAGACAGAGTTTCACCATGTTCGCCAGGCTGGTCTTCAACTCCTGACCTCAAGTGATTCACCTGCCTCAGCCTCTCAAAATGCTAGGATTACAGGCGTGAGCCACTGCACCCACCTGTGTTTTAGAAGAAAGCAATCCATCCAGCCTGGATTTAGAGAAAAAACTGCCCTGGCTCCAGAGCTGCATTTGCAAACATGGAGCTTTACGGTTGTAAACATTAACAAGACACTGTCACAGAACACAAACTGGACAGCTGCATTCAAAAGTGTGAGAGGCAGAGATCAGGTTTGAACACCACCCAGTTACTTCTTCTGAGCCTGGCTTCTGGCATTGAATTAAATGTAGGCTTATTTAACTCTCTGACAAGCGCATTGTTACAAGAGGAAATTCTACTCATGTTTTTAGTTTGAGAAACCACGGGTTGATGTTGAGGAAACAGAATTGAAATAAGGAGATGTGAAGGAAAAGAAGCACAGTTGTCAGTGTGGATGGATGAAGTTAATCATAGAGACAAGATAGGGGAAACATAAATAGATGCTTTCCTTTCTTGCTTAGTGGAAAAAAAATCCATATCTATAATATCAGAGTGAATATCATTCAAGTAACATCGCACCAGCATCCCCCACGGCATCTATGTAACACTCTCTAGGGATTGCCATGGATGTCGGCAACAGCCATCAAATCAGAGTCAAAGCAACTGGGAAAATTCTAGGTAAACAAAATTAAACACATTTCTTTTCTAAAGGGGCATCTCATCTTAATAAAACTTAATATGCAAAAGCTTATTTTAGAAAATAATGAAGAGAATTCAAAAGATGTAGACTTTTCCAGATTTATCTGTCTAGGAAGTTCTTTTTTTCACCAGGAATCTAGGACAACTAGAGTTCTATGGAACTAATTTTGAGAAACCCGGCATCATAAGAACATAATATGTACTAATTTGAAATGTGAAAAATACAAAAAAACAAAACCCAGTCGTGATTCCCATTTTCATTGCTAGCCATCACAGTTATTTAAGATATCTGTAATTGTAGACATATTCTGCCGCCATCGTTTTTGATCATTGGTCTGTGTTTAAACCTCATTTAAGAAATTTTCTTTTAAAAAATTGTTATATCTTTGTGTTTTCTATTCCAGGTATCAGTCTCCAGTTCTTTCTGTTTACCTACATTTTAATATTCATAGTTTTCATCATTCTTTCAATATATTGTCATTGAACATCTGCTATGTGTCACACTCTAAGTACCAAAGCGGCAGAAGTGAATAGCACAAAGCCACAATCTCATATAGATAACATAATAGTTAAGAAAGAAAAAAATAACCAAACCAAACATAAAGAAAACAAAAAGTCATAAAGCACCATGAAGAAAATAAATAAAATGACATGAGAGTCCTCGGGTAGGAAGAGTTGGAATTTCAGTGTGGCCACTTCTTCAATGATCCCCTTAACCTGAGGCACTGATATTCAGTGTAATATTCCAGGGGAGTTCAAACAGAAAGGGAGGGATGGGGGAAGCATTGCTTCAACTTAGCAAGCACTATATTTCAACGACTGCAGCACACCAATCCTTAGTCATGGAGGGCTCTCTGCTCCTATAACACCTCTATCTTTTTCATGCATTTTTTTCCTACATCCAACCAATATTCCTTTACGTATCAGTAGCAAATTGTATTCTGTTTTGAGAAAAACAATCAATAAGCCTAAACCCCCAAAGCGCAGACAACACAGGCAAAAACAGACAAACGAGATGACATCAAACTAAAACCCTTACGCACAGTAAAGGAAACAACAAACAGAGTGAAGAGACACCCTGCAGAATGGGAGAAGATGCTGGAGAACAAAATACCTGCTAATGCGTTCATATCCACAAATACAAAGAACTCAAACAAGGGAATCACAAGAAAACAAATCACCCATGTAACATATGGGCAAAGGACCTGAATAGACATTTCTTTAAAGAAGACATAAAAACGACCAACAGGTATATGGAAAGGTGCTCCGTGTCACTAATCATCAGGGAAATGCAAATTAAAACCACAGTGAGATATCAACTCACACCTGTTAAGATGGCTATTATCAAAAAGACAAAAAATAATAAGTGTTGGTGAGGATGTGGAGAAAAGGGAACCCTTGTACATTGTTGTTAGAAATGTAAAATATGTAAATTAGCATACTCATTATGGAAAATAGTATAGGGGTTGCTGAAAAAATTAAAAATAGAACTACTACATGATCTAGAATTTCACTTCTGATCCTATATCTGAAGGAAATGAAATCAATACGTTGAAGAGATATCTGCACTCTCATAGTCACTGCAGCGTTACTCACAATAGCCAAGTCGTGGAATCAATGCAGGGGTCCAACACTGGACTGAGAAATGGATAAAGAAAATGTGGTGTGTGTGTGTGTGTGTGTGTGTGTTCACGCGTGTGTGTACACAATGGAATACTATTCAGCCTTTTTTAAAAAAGAGGAAATCTTGCCATTTGTGACAACACAGTTGATCCTGGGGGAAATTATGCTAAGTAAAATGAACCAGGCACAGAAAGACAAGTACTGCATGATCTCATTTCTAGGTGAAATCTGGAAAAAATAGAACTCCCAGTAGCAGAGTGTGGGTATCAGGGGCTGGAGGAAGGAGAGGAAACAAATAATACAAAATTTCACTTAGGAGAAATAAGCTCAGGAGATCTACTACACAGCATGGTGACTGTAGTTAATAACAGCATATTGTATACTTGAAAATTGTCTGGAGAGATTTTGAAAGTTGTCACCATGAAAAATGACAAATATGTGAAGTAATGGGTATGTTAATTAGCTTGATTTGACCATTTCACAATGTATTCATATTCCAGACTCTCATGTACACCATAAATATCTACAGTTTTTCTCAATTTTAGAAAAGAAAATATCACCACTCTGACTAATTGATTTCATTTCTGGCAATATATGTTTATCATCCAAAATATAGGAAATTTCTGGT
Source organism: Homo sapiens (assembly GCF_000001405.40). Taxonomy (NCBI): domain Eukaryota; kingdom Metazoa; phylum Chordata; class Mammalia; order Primates; family Hominidae; genus Homo; species Homo sapiens. The sequence continues at coordinate 3,589,968 of NC_000008.11, forward strand.
GATATTCTTCAGAAGACATTAGAGTGTCCAACAACAGGACTGTGCTTGACTAAATTTTTTTGGATATATTTGAAAGAATGCAACATCGCTTTATAAAAGGCAAATATAAAATATATGTAGCAATAAAGAAAAATAAAAATGACATGTAGTAATATAGAAAAAGAAAAAAGGACAATACAAAATTGTATGTACTGAAAATAACTATGATCTATCTATATTTATATCTAAATATTAGGAAGATAGGCACAACCCATTTTTGAGCGGTAGTATCACAAGTATCACAATACAAATTTTTGTTTATATATTCAAATGATTATATTTTTTCCTGATTCTATTACTTTATAATTTAAAAGTTAAAATAAAAACACTTAGGCTGTTTCTATTAGACCGTTCCTTTCTTCTCACCCATCAAGGTAGTCATGTGCACTCTCCAGGACCTGAACTCGGCTCTTACTCTTCTCAGATTTCCACCAAAGGAAAGTTTTCAAAGACTAGTTCAGTGGAGAGCGGAGGATTGCTCCTGAGCTTCCACAATCATCACCTGGTATCACAAGCTAGTCCAGAAATCTCTGCGCACATTCATATTCAGTACATTGAGAGTACAGTATAGAACACATTCCATAATTACGATCATGAAACCTTTTTGCAAATTATCGGAAAAAGCCATCAATAGAATATGGAAGCTTCTCTAATTTCAAAGCATTAAAAATATTAACAGGAGCAACCTCTTCATTTGATTGCAGCTGGCAAACAGAGCCAATGTGGGTAAACGCCATTCCAGCAGCACAGCCGAGGAGGAGACTCCACGTGGGAATAAATCAAGTTGAGGCAGAAACTAAATAAGACCCCAATTCTAATTTATTAATTCAATCTTTTGCTCTCATTTTATCTAACACATGAATCAGTTCAATTTCCAAGCCATGTGTGCTTTCGATGTCGAATATATAATAAACTAAGTTTTCACTGATTTATGATTACTATATTTGAAGTAATATAAATCAGATATAACATCAGATAATCTAACTTGGTTTTCTGGAAAGAAGTCTCAGAGGAAAATTCCAGGAGAAAAAAGCTAGCAGTGCCTTTCTATTGGCAAGTTACTTTAGTCCGCCCTAGATTAATTACGTTGCACAACTGAGACAATTGTTAGTAGTTAGTAACTGTAAGAAATACTGGAGAACCGATTTTGTGTAAGATCAAGATACATGGTACATTGACAATAAATATCACACAGCAAAAGTTAACTCAAACAAAGCAGCAAAATTTTGACTTTTCAATTAAATACAACAGGGAAACATACATTTTCTGCTTCTTCAATGCTTAACACTTCTGAAATTGCTCCGTATTTGATTTCGGAAGACATTTATCACCATATAATTCACTTTACCTCAGTATAAAGACTCTTTCTAAGTGAGTAAACTATTTCCAAACACGCTTTAGTTGTAATACAAGCAATTTCTAAATATGGTTCTCATAGAGCATAACTATTTGAGAACTTATTAAACATTGGTATCATAACTATTTTTGAAAAATAATTTGAGGTGACTCGAAGATTAAACTAATGTTCAAAACAGGAAATGGGTTGACTTAGCTGTCCGCTGTTTACCAGAGATTACACTAATCTACTGACTGGCTAGGTAAGGATCTCCTACCTCTCTTTTCAACCCACACTGCTCAGCGTCTACTGAATCTGCTGATGCAACCAATAGATAGATGAGAGATAGATGATTGATAGATAGATAGATGATAGAGAGATTAGATGACAGATACACAGATAAACGGAGAGACAGATGATAGACAAAGAGATGGATGGATGGATAGATGGAAAGATGGAAAGATGGATAGACAGTGGATGGATAGATGATAGGTACATAGATTAGATAGATAAATAGATGATAGATGAATAGATGGATAGATGACAGATAGCTGGATGGAGGAATATATGGATTAGACAGATACATAGATGGATAGATACACAGATGCATGGATAGATGAATGGATGGAAAGATAGATTGATAGATAAAAGACGGATGGATAGATGATAGGTAGATAGATACATAAATAGATGACAGACGAATAGATGGATAGATGATAGATAGATGGAGGAATTGACGGATTAGAGAGACAGATAAATAGATGGATAGATACATAGATGGATAGATAGATGAATGGATAGGTAAGTAGATATCCATCTGGTTAGGTAGATAGATTGACAGATGACAGATAGATGGACAGAAAGATAAACAAGTGGATAGATAGATACATAGATGGATAGATAGCTATAGAAAGACAGATATATATCTTTCTGTGTTAAAAAGTCCACTTCAAACATATACTTCAGTACTCATAAATATAAAAGGAATATATATATATTATTAGGTATCGAAGGTAGGCATTTAAACATTTTTGCATCTTCAGCAAAAAGAAAAAATACATTAGGTAAAATGTTTTTCAGTCTCAAGCAGCAGAAAACACAAAAATTTGAGGAAACCTTTTCTTCAGCGTGACATTCAAGCCTGGATTTGCCATATTTGTCCTTGTAAAATGGAGATGGATGGCATGGGGGCAGTAGCTGCAGCCACACTTTATCAAAGGTTTAGAAATGTTGCTTGAATGAAAGTATTTGCTTAAGAGGAACAAAGCTGTGAGCAGGAGGAAGGGTGAATGCTGAAGGGTCTATGTGTGTGTTTACGTGTGTGTGCACATCCGTGTGTGTGTGCACATCCGTGTGTGTGTGTGTGTGAGTATGCACAGCTTTGATTTTTCTTCCCCCTGTATTTTACTAAAACTCTGAGGACTTTTGTCCTAGCACAGCACACGTTAAAAGTTACAGACTTCCAAATTCACAGTGGGATCCAGGTGTACATCATGAAATAGGTGTAAAGGAGATGTGATGGTAGGTTCTCCCACTTCCTGCTTCTCCACTATAAGAAATAAAGTCAAAGCCCACAGTGTGGAATCGATGAGTTGCCCAAACAGCAAAGGTGGTGGCCTGGCCCTCCCCGCAGGCACCCCATCCCAAGGAGAAGTCAGAACTCCTGGCCTGTGCTTGGATATAGGCAGGAGAGGCTGGAAGCCCTGGCTGGGGGGTCCTGCCCAGTGAGAAGGAATGGAGCTGAGTCCTGCTTAAAGCGGTCTGGCTACCGCCAGAACTTGTCACTGGAGCTGTGGTGATAAGTGTGATGGTGGCGTGGAGGCTGTGGAAGCCCAGTGTCATGTTTCCCCACCATACTTGGGACCAAGACCCAAGCTGGGTGAGGAGACAGAACAAGACAGAACCCCCGCGTTGTGTCTGTGTGTTCAGGAGTAATGCAGGACTCCTTAGTTCCCAGCTGTGGCCTCATGGAGAAGCCCCTGTGTCTCCTGGTGCTTCATAGAGTCTGGAGAAGGTGGGAGGAGCCCGTGATGGAGAAGGTCAAGCCCATGAGCCTCCCCCAGGTCCACCTGCCTCCAGGGCAGAGGCCTAGGAAAGGTTATGACTGGGAGTGAGTGGCACAGGCGGGATGGAGGAGAGATGCCTGCTCTCACTAAGGCCAAAATGCCCTCTCCACAGCCCGGGCCCTTAACGTCCTTGAGAGAGAGTGAAGGGATGTCCAGATCTGACTTTTAACCTGCTTCACTGGGAAATCACTAATTTTAACTCTTTTAAGAATGAACAGATAAAGTTTTCTGACTCAGACAAAATGAGGATCCCACAAAAGAAATTACCAATCACAGTACAAATAAAACTACATTTTATACATCAGAATTTATAGACTTATTAATTCAACTTCATATATCCATTTTAACTTACTTTGCAAATAACACTGCTATCCTTATTATATATGGGTCATTCTCCCATCTTTGCCATCTCTTTCTCCCTATCTCCCTCTCTCTTTCTCTATTTTTCTCTTTCCCTGCCTTCCTCCATCTTACTTGATTTTCACATTAAAACACTGCTTTTTCCCAATACGTAGAATCAGTTATATGGGGAGTTTCCTGAACAAGGTGCTAAAAAGTTTTCTGGAAACGCTATTAGAAAGACGACAGTGTTTTTCTAACTTTAGAGCAACAGAGTGACGTTTGATTCAAGAAAAGGAATGAGAGAGGAAAAACCAACCAGAACACCTCCAATATCTAATATTCTTCAGCATCTTGAAAACATTTAGCTGCTCCTCACTCTTCACTCTTTTCCATGGGCCTCTGCTATGCCCGACCTACAGGGGTTTGGCACTCATTTACGGCCGTCCCCAAATGCACCAGACATGAGGCGAGCCCTGGACCGTATTAATGAGCTGCTAGTGTAAGAGATACTTCATCAAACAGCTCTTGGTCAATATATTAAATCTAAATTGCTATGGGAATATTAACAAAAAAGAACTGATTTGCCTTTAGTAAAAAGATAAGAAGAACTTATGCTGGAAACTGAAATTTGGGTTACGTCTTGAAAGATGCATAGAATGTATTTTTTTTTTCCAAAATGAGTATATGTGTTATGGATTAAAAAACCACCACAGCAAAACCCTGTTGGTAACAAAGCTGAGGTTTGTTCAGACAATTGCATATAACTTGGTTTGTCCAGGAATGTTTTTCAAAGGTTATTTCCATTACCATGGAGGCTATCTCCTACCTTCCTGTTTTGAAGTTGCACGGTGTCCTTCCCCAGTAGATACAATGACTTAGGTTTATACCCTCTGCCTCCACCTCACCTCCCTTCTCTCACTTCTGAGGCATATAACTTAGTTCCTTTATTGCTCCATCTCAGGTTTAGTCTCAGGATATTAACACAAAGCACAGAAGTATGGAAGAGTGGGAGGCTTGGGAGAAGAGGCCGGTTGGGAAGGTGTTAACCTCCGAGGGAACCGCGGTGTGTCATTCACCTTGAAATCTCTCACAGCTTCCAGCACTGCTCATGGAGCTTCTGAGAGCCCTGCAATAAATACCTTTGGAACTAATGTGAGCAAAAACCAGGAGGCAGAAGCAGGAATTCAGAACATCTCCTAGATGTGGAAGAAGCCTCTGAACTGAAGGGCTTTAGGAAGAAAAACACAACCCGGCCTCTGTGTGCAGTCTCTCAGCATCCACGCGGCACGTGAACCCTTGGGAACATTCATCTCTATTTTAAAATAAATGCTTTAGGTATCCTCTCCGATTGTCCTATAAGGGAGTTTTTACACTACTCAGATGGGAACTTGGACAATTCACCGGATGGCCTCTGCTGAGGGATGCCCCTTAGGGACACGATCCTAATAAGCAAGACCAGGAAGGCTGGGAAGACCATTTGCAAGCAAGCCAGCCACATGCTAGGGAAACAATGTCCCATTGTGTGACTTGCTCAGCATTCCAGAAAATGCCATCATCGGAGAGATGAATGTGCATCTGCTGTGGATATTGAAATGCCTTTTATTACCCGTTTGACTTTCACACATAATGTGTCTTTTCTGGGTCATTTTTTCTTTTCATAGCGGCAATTTTTAGACTCATTTCTTCAAGCCTTAAGGCAGTTTAACACCACTAAAAATGCATCAGAGAGTAGATGGAACTCTCTAGCCTGAGGAAAGAAAGGAAACTAATATTTTATGTGATTTTTAGATACTGTGTGTTAGCAATAGCCCAACAAAGATCCCTTAATGACAATCAAAATATAGGATGGTTCCAGGGTATAAGCAACAGTAAGCTTGGAGTGATTGGCAATTTCCAGCTGTGACTAGCTCTCAGAAGCACCGCATTGACAATGAGGTGTGAATTTTTGTGTGAGGGAATTTGATTTAAATGTTCCAAGTTATGTTATAAGTTCATGTAAACCTGCCATTTGCTAAACAACAGGACTTTGTCATGCGAAGTAGAAAAATTAAATCCTCACGTTCACCCACCTATCTATACAAAGGCAAAAGCTGTTTGCACACTGTGTGAACGTGGAAGAGGGTTTGGATGCAGCCAGGACTGTGGGGAATCATGGCTTGGGAAGGAGCTTTGCCCGCAAGCCCCTCTCCCATCTTCTTCTCTTTTGTGTCTCCCTGAGATCCAAGGTGAAAGCCCCTTTGCCTCCTTCCTGACAATTTATCAGGGCTTTGAGGAGAGCAACGTCAGTGCCTATTTTCCACGTGGGCTTAGGAAGCCAGAGGAGACTCTTCGAACTCTAGACCAAAAGGCGTTTTGCGGATCATGCTCTTTGCTCTGTAGCTCGAGGGAGGAAACAGTGAGGAGTGTCGGAGGCAGAGACATGGGAGAAGGAAGCAGAGCTCCAGCAGCCTGCACCACCGCCCCGGCAGCCTGCACCACCGTCCAGCTCACACCTCCATCATGCATCAGCCTCACACAATAGCAGCAGACATGAGTTTGTTTTACTTCATGAACATGCCCAGGCAGCAGCTGGAGCTAACCAGGTACAGCATGCAGGGAAGTGACATATATTACTAACCACTCAGGTCAGGGCAGACCTTTGGGGCCTCCACGATAAGTCAACAATGGAGGAGGCTGATTCCCAAATCACAGATGAGAACGAGAGACTCAGAGGGCCCTCTGCTCAGCATCATGGGATGCTGGATTCAAATGGGCTTTCTTTTTTTGTAACTTGGGAACTTATCACTTAAATCCGTGGTTGATCAGTAAACAATCCTAAATACACAGAGACTGTTCGGCAAATATTTCCTCCCGGGCTTATATCTACACTTGGCAAAACTTTGCAATTTTTTTTATTTATCCTTCACATCTGGTTGTTTGTAATTGACCAGCAACCACAGTATCCAGGCTTAAGGAGCACCACACAAAACAAGAGCCAGGAGGGTGGGCAAGAGAAGAAAACACTGCTATAATTCAGGGCACACACAAACACACACACTCACACACACATGCATACATGCATACCAGTAATCACATGAGATCCAAAAGCATGTTTACAAGACACTAAAAGATGTGAATATACTTGCACCCTACAGAAGTTGGCACAATGCAAGCGCTCAGCAAACATGCCTCAGTTTCCAAGTGCCCCTCTTAGCAGCACACTTCTGCCTGCCTTGTTTGGTGCAATGGCTCACTCTGTTTCTGTGGCCATGAATCCAGAACCCAGGTGCTGATGCCACCCAGAGCCAGGAGCCCTGCAAGATATTGGCCGATAAAACAGAGCCACCTCACCCAAACGCTGGCTGCACTGAGCCTGCTGAGGCTCTGGCTTCTTCAGCAGACATATGGGATGCCCAAAATCAGAGGGAATCAATGCCCCAGGGGTCATACTTTGAGAAGGGGACACAGGAACTGAGAGGACTCATGGTAAACATCGGGCCCCAGGGGTACACCCAGGCTGTCTAGAGGCACCGGTGAGACAGAGCATCTCCCTGGGCTGATTCTGAAGCTGAGCACAGCTTCCCAGCACGTTTGGCATCTCTGTCTGGTTCCAATTTCCCTCACTCTCGCTTCACTGGAATTAAACTGCCCCTAAAGCTGATTTCTATGGAATCCCAAATAAAGTAGGGAACTACTTTCAATGCAAGCCCCAAGACCTAGAGAAGTTATTTTCAGGTCACCAGGCTATTAAATAGTTGTAAATAAAATGCAGCTGAGATAAAACATGAGCCACATGTTTTTCTCACCACAATGCAAGGTACTGAGGCCAAGAATTGTCATTTCCATATCATACTTCTTACAACTCTGAACACAGTTCTTAAAATGTCTTTGCCCAGCACATATACACCATGGAATACTATGCAGCCATAAAAAATGATGAGTTCATGTCCTTTGCAGGGACATGGATGAAACTGGAAACCATCATTCTCAGCAAAGTAACACAAGAAGAGAAAACCAAACATTGCATGTTCTCACTCATAAGTGGGAGTTGAACAATGAGAATACACGGACACAGGGAGGGGAACATCACACACCGGGGCCTGTCGGGGGGTTGGGGACTAGGGGAGGGATAGCATTAGCAGAAATACCTAATGTAAATGATGAGTTGATGGGTGCAGCAAACCAACATGGCACATATATACATATGTAACAAACCTGCACGTTGTGCACATGTACCCCAGAACTTAAGGTATATTAAAAAGTTTTTCTTTGTATATCTCCTCTCTTTATCATTTGCCCTACTTCAGCCCAATAAAACACTTTCTTCTTAATACAGTTTATTTTTCTCTACCTTATATTAATCTTGGGTCATTCCTAGAAATAAAATCATATATTTCCTAACGCATTTAACAAAACTAAGTAGGACCAAGCCAATCTGAGAAAAGGGATCCTGTGGATATCAGAAAAGAGGGTGTCTAGGGAAGTTAATGCTAAAATTATACTGTGCTGTGTAGATGCATGAACTCCAGCTGTAAACATCCCCAGAAAAACAGACCTGCTCGGCTTCCTCGCACCTACTTTCCTCTATGTAGTTATGCATTTGATGGCTGGTATGTTTGCTTTAACTTCTTGTCATTTAGATCCAGCCCTTAATGCTCACGTCAGTCTCTAGGAGAGAAAGGCAGGGAAAGATTTTCCCTCAGGGTTTTTACACAGGCTCTTCTTCCTTCTGGGACCGACCGCCCCATAGGCTCAAGTGGGGACATCCTTTCCTTCCCATCCTCCAAGCCCTGGCTGTGACGTCTCCCCTGAGCCTTCCTCTACGCTCTGTCTACAACAGAGGAGGACTTTTCTGTTGTTCCTTCTTTTATTTGTCCTCATCCCAAGAGCTCAGTACAGTTCCTGAGGGCTTGCTCATTTTGCTAAGGAAATGAAAGAATGAATCAGTAGCTGAAGGGTTGCCTTGGATGCTAAAAACCTCCCTAGAGATGGCTCCAGGTAGTGATTTGTAATTTCCCCCCGCCCCTTCTTTTGAGAACAGCAGATACAAAGCACAGAAAAGCTGAAATTGGGCCAGGTGCAGTGACTCACGCCTGAAATCCCAGCACTTTGGGAGGCCGACACAGGTGGATCACAAGGTCAGGAGTTTGAGACCAGTCTGACCAACATAATGAAACCCCATCTCTATGAAAAATACAAAAATTAACTGGGCATGGTGGAGTGCACCTGTAATCCCAGCTACTCAGGAGGCTGAGAGAGGAGAATTCCGTGAATGTGGGAGGTAGGGGTTGCAGTGAGCAGAGCTTGCAACAATGCACTCCAGCCTGGGTGTCAGAGCAAGACTCCGTCTCAAAAAAGAAAAGAAAAGCTGACATTGGATTGCAATTGCTTACTGCTGTGTGTGTGTGTGTGTGTGTGTGTCTGTGTGTGTGTCTGTGTGTGTGTGTGTGTGAGATGAGGGATACTGTATATATTTAAAGGTCCTAAATGATAAACAAAGTGAAATGATTACTGCAGTCAAGCAAATGAATGTATCCACCTCCTCATGTGGCTACGTGTGTATGTGTGGGTGCTGAGAACACCTGAGATCTACCCTCTTAGCAAATTCTCAGGATGCAACACGGCATTATTAACCCCAACTCAGCATCATTAACCCCAACGCAGCATTATTCACCACAATATAGCACTATTAAATACAACACGACATTACTAACCCCAAAGCAGCATTATTAACCACAACGCAGCATTAGTAACCCCAACGCAGAGTTAGTAACCCCAACACAGCATTAGTAACCCCAACGCAGCATTGTTAACCCCCACACAGCATTGCTAACCACAACACTGCATTATTAATCACAATACAGCATTGTTAATTAACCACTTCATGCTATACATCAGATCCCTAGGTTTATTCATCCTATGTAACTGCAGCTTTATGCCTTTAACAACATCTCCATTTTCCTTTGAGTATCTGCTGCATGCCCAGATTGGCGCCAACCTATACCTTGCACTCCTCTCTTCTTTCACCAGGTGGTCCTTCCCGCTTGGCATGGGCAACTCCCACTTCTTTCCTCCTGTCTTTCATCAAAATCTGCTGGGAGCAACAGATCTGACAAATTCTTTCATACACAAGAAAGTGTAATGGAGTGAGATGGTTGACTACCTTCCCCTTCCAGAGGAAGCAACATTTCGGCACAGCAGGACGTCTTAAAGCAAAGTGTCGGTCTCTACAATTCATTGATGGCAAGCTCCTGGCAGCATCATTGTGAGGGCAGGGAAAATGACCACCACAAGAGGCACCTCCTCAGCTCATCACTAAGGGTAGAGCTGGTTCTGAATGCTTGCTGAACACTTAAGAAAAGTCTAGCAGGTAAAGAGAGCGAGGAATTAATTTAAGACACACACACACATAACTGCAGGTGGCATCAGCAAGCTGAAAACTGACAAACCATTGCTTCCCGAATCTTTCCAGGTATCTGTCTGTCTTTCTCCTTTTCTCCTTCTCCTCCCCATTAGTATAAATAGGAAGCTTAGGTAAAATTCCTCATAAAATTTAGAATTTGGTGCCAAAGGGCATTTAATGCTGTTGAAGGGTGGAGTGGGTGGATTTATTACCTTTAGATCCTAGTTAAATTGATAAACCATCTAACTAGCTACTCTATTTCCCCTAGAATATGAATACAGAAACTTAAGAGGTCTCTAAACCAGCAGTTCTCAGCAAGGGTCAAGTGTATCAGAATCATTCAGGGTTGATTGGAAAAGGGACGCCAAGTGTCAAAGACTACCACTCAGAGACTATGAAATGTCATCCTGGGGATAGGGTGCTCCCATTTACTCACCCAGCTTGCCAGTATATTCTCTACGATGGCAAGCAAGTATTATTGCTGGTGGCAGTGGAAAACGACTGGTGACCCCAGATGATAAGAGACAGAAAACCATTGCTCTGGTCTAAAGCGAAAGTCTGCAGGGGCGGTAATTTTACTGAGGGATCCAGGCACCCACCTCTATCCCCACTCTATCACAGGATTCAGTCATAAATAGCAGTCATTGTTCTTCCATGAATGTTTTGTAACATTCATATGCATGTTTTGCAACATTCATATGCATGTTTTGCAATATTGCAAACACAGTATTTTATTAATTAAATAAATGATTTCAATACAATAAAAAAATGGTTTTGCTATGTGATTGAAAATGTGGATAGAGAGGAAGGAATTGATTGCAATGTCAAGAAATGTAAAGAACTATTCCAAGGGGGTCTCTGTACTAATCTCTATGTGCAAGAATCAGCTATGATTGGACATTTTTCATTCATCCCGCATGATATCGTGGCAGCAAGCTTGATACCAGGTCATACATGCTAGAAACCTCCATGACTCCTGTATATCACTGCTAGATGTAGGTTTGCCTCTGGCTTCTGAGATCTACCAGTGCTGCATCATTGTGTCCGTGGGATTCCTGTTCATGGGAGCTGCTCATTGGCCTCACATCTTTATTATTTTTCCAAGAACATTATTTGATGGAGGCCAAGATTTGGTAGGATTTTTGCTGCGGGGAAACAAATCAGCTGTCCTTATTCTTCCAGCTTCTGCAGACATATAGGAGCTGTAGAAGGCAGCAGATACTGAAAGTGTTTTCCAACGATGAGGTTTCCATATACATTATCAGACGATGTTTATGCTATCAAACAGGTTTAGAAAAGCAAGCCCATCTGTATTTAGTCACCTATCTCTAATCTCATATCACGGATGACATACACCAGGCAGGCCAATGGTTACCAACCTCGCTTGCACATCAGAATCACAGCAGGCACTTATAAAAGGTCTAACATTGAGTTACCTACACTAGTCACCACAATCTACTGTAGAATAAGATGCTGCAAAATTTTCATGGCTCTGTTCAGCAGCGTCAACAAACTTTAAGGCTAATGGAAGCCTGTGAAATCATTGGTAATATGCAGAAGAGTTATCAACTATAGGAACAATATTAAAGCAGTGAACATTGAATAACAACCAGTGCATTGATTTGGGGACCATTCTCCCTGCTCCCTAATGTTTCCAATTCGTTTAAAAACTCTTCAGAATCTCAAATGATTCATTCTGTTTCCCCCTACGTCTTCACCAGAAATGTGTTGAAGCAAAGGAGAGAGTTAGTGTTCACAGATCTGCCCTAGAGAGAGAGAGGGTTATAGCACATTCTGTCTATAGTGATCACGTTCCCAGGAACAGGAAGTACAATGGTGGCTGTCGGGAGATGTGGGTAGGGGAGGATGGGAAGTTATGGCTTTATGGGTATGGAGTTTCAGTTTTGCAGGATAAAAAGAATTCTGGAGATGGATGGTGGTCATGGTTATACAACCATATGAATGTGTTAACACCATTGAACTGCACACTTAAAATGGTCAGGATGCTAAATTCTATATTATGTGGATTTTATCACAATTAAACATTCTCTTTAAAAATCTTCATGACTGGTCCATCTTCCTGACCAATTAAACCAGAACCTTCGGGGTAACTGGAGTGTGTTTAATTGCACAGTTTAGAGTCCCCAGGAAAACCAGATCACTTTCTCTCTAGGGCAGATCAATGAACACTAACTCTCTTCTTTCCTTCAACAAATTTCCGGTGGAGGCATAGAGGAAAGCAAAATGAATCACCTGAGATTCTGAAGAGATTTTAAAGGAATTAGAAAAATTAGGGAGCAGGGGGAATGGCCCCAAAATCAATGCACTGGTTGGTCATTGAACGTTCACTGCTTTAATATTGATCCTAAACTCTTTTGCATATCACTGATGATGATCTCACAGGCTTCTTTTAGCCTCAAAGGTTGTTGACACTCCTGAACAGAGCCATGAAATTTTTGCAGAATCTTATTCTAAAGTAGAATATGGCAAACACATGGCTAAGAGTCACAGGGTGTTATAATTCTAATGTATGGAAGAAATAATCACATCTCCTATTTCAACCCATTCTTTTACAGGAAGAATTACACACACACACACACACACACACACACACACAGAAAAAGTGTTACAGAAGGTCATTTTGAAGAGCATTTATATTCAAATAGTCCCCGAGATGGCATATCTGATGATCATGACAAACTGGGCTTTTGTTGATAATTCATCAACTATGTTTTGTATTTTGAAGCTAACAAATTAATATAGGCTCAAGTAACAATCACCTATTTTCTCAGAAGACTATTTAAATGTGTATTTTATTTTGATGAAAAAATTACTTTTCTACTACAGATATTGAAAAGACTGTGTAAGAGAGAGGGAGGATATTCCACCAGCCCTATTTGGTGAATTGCTTATCAGAAGCAAGTTTAGCCACACAAATATGATCTGAAACATTCAGAGTGTGTCATTTTTCAAAGGGACATAAAGGCTTCAAGGAGTGTCAATGGGATATTATTGTTTGTGGTATTTCTTAAGTAGTTCTTAAAAAATGCAGTTGATGCTCTTTGAAAGAGCAGTAATCATCGGCAAATATTTTTCCTACTCTGCTTCAGTTTCCTAGTAACCATGAATCCTCCTTCAAAAGCTACCTGCCTGCCTTCAGTTACAGGCATAGGAATATGTTATGTTCCTTAAAATTTTTTTTAAGTTGTGAAAACACTTTGGACAATGGCAGGGGACTTAGGCGCGGCAGGCTCAAATACAGCACGTCAGGAAAGGCTTGCGAGCTAAAGCCTCCTTTCTTTATATGACAAACCTGGACTGAGCGCCCAATCCCACTTTGTCCTCCTTCACCTTACTGTTTTCTCCACTAGACAAGAGAGTAAAAATCACTTACAGAAATGAACACTGGTTCAAGAAATAAGATCATGTTTGAGTTTCAAAAAATAAAAGACAGTTCTTTGTCTTCCACTTAGGGACATGGAATGGAAACGGATTATGTCACAAAGGGGATTTTTTTCCAACAAGAAACCAAACTTGAATGTTTTTAAAATTCCCTCTTGTATTCATTATAGTTTCCAAATTTTCTTAAAAAACCCCCTGATATATGGGCTTGATTCTAACTTTACAAATGTTTCATCTATTAGTAAACTAAATTTTTTAGTTGATGGGAAGAAGGAATAACAATCATAATCCAATGATGTCCATACTTTCTACTTTTTCTTCTAGTTGTACATAAATGATCTAGCAAATGGCCAAGGCTTAATGCTTAATACAGTATATGATGCAAAGAAACAGCAGCTTTTTTATTGGGAATAATTATGTTCTTACAAGTTTACCTGTAAATGAAAATTTTGCATACTGAATCAATATTTATTGTTGCCTTACAACCTGTAAATGTAAATGCATTCCTGATATAAAAGTAAAATTAAATAACTTAGTGAATAATGGCTGAATGCTTCCTTCGAAGCAGGCTCTGTACTGAACACTGGAAACATGATAGTGAATAAAACAAAGTTCTTCTCTCTACGGGGCTCAGAATCTTGTGGGCAGATAGAAAATATATAAACATGAATTATGCTTAGTGAAATCAAATTGGAAGCATAGACGTGCATAGAATTTCTGGCTGGTCAGTGCTAGAAAGTCAAAGGCCAGAGGGAGGGAGGCTGCGGGGGGGGACCAAAGGTCCATTTCAGATTGTGTGGCCAGGAAGTAGCACGGAACAGGTACCTCATGGGGTGATGCTCCGAATCTTAAGATCTGGATTTTCTCTGGTCAGTATATAACACATCTCTTAGCATTGCTGAGAGGACAGAAGATGTCAACATATCATGGAAAACACGAGAAGGATCATAGAAATGAAGACGTGCTAAAGAGGAGAGCCAATACCACATAGGATACCAACCGAGATATCAGTGTATGCATCTGCTCTAACTTTATAAGTATATGAAATCTATAAAGTATATAAATGATGACAAATAAAATAGTAAGCAAGAAAAGGAATCAAAGGAGCCAAAAAGCAGGTGGAAATACAGGAGGGGAAGAGCTAGAGGTCCCTAGATATCTCTCCATTATTCTCTGCATCAGGAGAGAAACATTATAACATCAGTGCCCTTGGACACATGGGCATAACCTGAGTGTGCAGTTTTATTGCTTGTGGTATCCAAGGGCATCAACGTGATAGCATTTCTCTCTTGATGAAGACAACAGTGAGAGTTATCTAGGGGGCTCTAGCTACCTCCACGCTCTGTGTTCACCTGCTTTTGGGCTTGGGCTTGTTTGACACTTTTCATAATAAAATTTATAATGTGCCTTTGGTTTCCCTCATTTCTTCATCATTTAAAAAAATGATTCAATAACACAACTTAAAAGAAAGCAGTTCTTTTGTTTTTTTCTTTTGAGGAGTCACTGCTGGAGTGCAGTGGTGCCATCTCGGCTTACTGCAACCTCAGCCTCCCAGGTTCAAGTGATTCTCCTGCCTCAGCCTCCCGAGTAGCTGGGACTACAGGCGCATGCCATGTCTGGCTAATTTTTGTATTTTTAGTAGAAACAGGGTTTCCCTGTTTTGACTAGGCTGGTCTCGAGCTCCTGATCTTGTGATCCACCCGCCTCGGCCTCCCACAGTGCTGGGTTTACAGGCGTGCGCCATCGCGCCCAGATGAAAGCAATTCTTACTGAAAAGAACACCACATTTACTCCCTGGTTTCTACACAGTCCATAAGTGCAATTCTTTACATTTTCATGTAACAAGAGACAGGTGCCTCTGCTCTCGCTGGAGTTGACCTACAATGGAGAAATAATAAAACCAATGCAGCAATACTATAATAACTATAAATAAAATTATCAATACGCTACAAAAAATTAAGATAACTGAATGTGGAAACTAGAAATGAGCAGTTGTTTATCACAACACATGGGCTATGGATTTGTTTCTGCTTCTTATTATGTAATTTTTTTCCTTAATGTACTTCAGTTTCTCCTTCCGTTTGATGACACATAATTCATAAAGCATATTTCAAAATAGAATGAAAAATAAACATGGTATCCTCGAGATAAAAATATGCTAAGACAAAGAACAGATGTTATTAGCATGAATAGTAACATGCACATACCAAGGACATACATTAACTATTCAGTTTTTAAGTCATAAATAGCACTCTTTCAACCCCCAAATTCCCTTTAGAGCCTAGGTTATGACTCTAATTTTAATTGTTAATCTATTCTCTGATGAGCAGTGCTTAACTTAATTGGTTTAGCAGACTATTAATGAGGTTATGTCCATATATCCCTAGAGACTGGCTTGTTAGCCTCAGTTTAATCCATTCAACAGAGGAGTCTTCTGCCTTGTGTGGGGTCCGGTCATATAAAATCAAATCAATAAGGCGTCTCCCCTTTCCTACAAAATCACATGATTGTAATGAGATGATAGTAACATAAATACATGTATAAAACTCAAAGATGCTAGGAAACGTTGAAATCGGGAAATGACAAGAAGCTGGGTGTAAAGAGCCCCTCGTTCTGCAGAGAGAAGCCAACCGTGTGGGTGGGGGAGGACAGAGATGGGCCAAGGTGCAGTCACTTGTCTTTTAAGGCCAGGATGCAGTGTGAGAAATGCATTGTTAGGCAATTTGGTGGTTGTGCGAACATCACAGAGGGCCCTTACACCCACCCAGATGGTGTAGCCTGATACACAGCTGGGCTTCATGGTACAGCCTAGTCCTCCCAGGCTATGAACCCATACGGCATGTTACTGTACTGAGTACTGTAGGCAATTGAACACAATGGTAAGTGTTCGTATATCTAAGTATACCTAAACATAGAAAAGGAGCAGAAAAGATATGGTATGAAAGACGGAAGATGTCTCATTCATATAGGGTACTCCCTATGAATGGAGCTGGCAGGGTGGAAGTTGCTCTGTGTGAGTCAGTAAGTGGTGAGTGAATGTGAGGGCCTAGGACATGACTGTACACTCCTGTAGACCTTAGAAACACTGTATCCTTGGGCCACTATAAATTTATTAATGCTTTTCTTTCTTCAATAATAAATTAACCTTAACTTACTGTAACAATTTTACTTCGTTACAATTTTTTTTTTTTTTTTGAGACAGAGTCTCACTGGGTCCCCAGGCTGGGGTACAGTGGCGTGATCTCCACTCAGCGCAACCTCCACTTCCTGGGTTCAAGTGATTCTCCTGTCTCAGCCTCCCAAGAAGCTGGGACTACAGGCACCTGCCACCACGCCCGGCAAATTTTTTTGTATTTTTGTAGAGACAGGGTTTCACCATGTTGGCCAGGATGGTCTCGATCTCTTAATCTCATGATCTGCCCACCTCAGCCTCCCAAAGTGCTGGCATTACAAGCGTGAGCCGCCGTGCCTGGCCTACCGTGTTACAGTTTTTAACTTGTGAGTTTTTTGCAATAATACTCAGTTTAAGACACAAACACATAGTACAGCTGTACAAAAGTGTTTTTTCTTAATATTTTTATTTCACAAGCTTTTTTCTATTGTTCTTTTTACTTTCTAAACCTTTTGTTATAAACTAAAACATGAACAAGCGCACTAGCCTAGGCCTGCACGACGTCAGGATCATTAATATCACTGTTTTCCACCTCCACAGCTTGTCCCACTGGGAAGTCTTCAGGGGCAAGGACACACATAAATGAAGCTGTCATGTCCAATGATCACAATTCCTTCTTCTGGATACCACCTGAAGGACCTGCCTGGGGCTGTTTACAGTTAACTTTTGTGTTTTTTATAAGCAGACGGAGTATACTCTAAAATAACAGTAGAAAGTATACCATTGTAAATGCATGAACTACTAAGACAGTCATTGATTCTCATTATCAAGTATGTGCTAGCCTTTTCTGTGACTGGCAGCACAGTACATCTGTCTTACATCAAGACTGCCGCAAACATGTGAGGACTGCTCTGTGCTGGGAGGGAGCAGAGCTAGGAGATCACCAGGCAATGGAAATCTTTCAGCTCCATTAAAATCTTAAGGGAAAACCATCATATATGCAGTCCATTGTTAGGCAGTGTATGACTGGATATTCTATTTACAAAAAGAACAAAAAATTTTACGGAGAACTATTCCATATCAGTCGGTTTTGCCTATTAAAGCCCCTCCTCTGTATCTCCATTAACTGGCAATACTCCTTTGTGGAAAGACTCAAATGAGAAGAATCAGCATGGCTGGTGTTGGTGTGGCAGAAAGGAGATGATACTTGAGGAAGAACATGACTAAGAAGTAAAGGAAGTAGCCAGGCACAGTGGTTCATGCCTGTAATCCCAGCACTTTGGGAGGCCAAGGCAGGCGGATCACTTGAGGTCAGGAGTTCAAGACCAGCCTGGCAAACATGGGAAAACCCTGTCTCTACTAAAAATACAAAATAATTAGCCAGCCGTGGTGGTATGTGCCTGTAATGCCATCTACTCAGGAGGCTGAGGCCGGAGAATTGTTTGAACCTGGGAGGTGGAGAGGTTGCAGTGAGCCAAGATTGTGCCACTGCCCTCCAGCCTGGGCAACAGAGCAAGAAGCCATCTCAAAAAAAAAAAAAAAAAAAGTAAAGGAAGAAAGACAGGACACTGAAGGTGGGCAGGTGCCACCTGCAGAGGAGGTAGTGTCAGGACAGATATTGCAGCTCATGCAGAATCAGGGCTGTGGCCACATGGAGCTCTTTATGGATAGACATGAAGGGGGCCACATTGTGGAAGAAAAGAGAAAAGGGACATGGAAGCAGTTGAGAAGCTCAAGTTTCAGAGAATTCAGGGAGCTCCCTAAGTTCAGTTTCAGCATCTTTGAAATGTTCTTAAAAGGATAGAAGAATTTGAAATTATATATTAAAAAAATATGGCTGGGCGCTGTGGCTCACGCCTGTAATCCCAGCACTTAGGGAGGCCAAGGTGGGTGGATCACGAGGTCAGGAGTTTGAGACGAGCCTGGCCAACATAGTGAAACCCCGTCTCTATTAAAAATGCAAAAAAATTAGCCGGGCATGGTAGCACACGCCTGTAATCCCAGCTACTCAGGAGGCTGAGGCAGGAGAATTGCTTGAACTTGAGAGGTGGAGGCTGCAGTAAGCCGACATCATGCCACTGCACTCCAGCCTGGACAACAGAGTGAGACTCTGTCTCAAAAAAAAAAAAAAATCATAACGTCCAGCAGTGTGCATCACGGCCAATGCTAGTCTATGTGGATCCGTGGTGCCAATTACAACATGACACACCCCTTGCAGTGATCAATTAAACCAAGATTGTCCTTCTGCTCAGCATATGCAATGCATGCTAAGCTGCAGGGCTTGGAATGCTGAGCTCAAGGGCAAATTTCAACCATACCTTGACTCCTCATTGGCTACTTTGTGAAGTCCGCACACTACACACCCCTTTCCAGCGGTCCTGCATAGTGAGTGTAAAAACTTCTATTATAATTATCTGTGTTACAAACTACCAAGGTCAATAGAAGCTTTGATATCAGTAGGATCCAGCTCTGACTCTGACAAGATATAGCACTTTGTTAGGTTAGCGTTCTGAATTTCAACGCTTCTACTTATAAACATGAGGATAATTACATCTGCCTGGACATAGGCTACATATCCTGTTAGCACAGAAAGACAGATGAACAATAGATGACAGTACCCACCCATAAATTCTCAATACCAATCTGAGCTCCCTCCCTCAGATATTGGTATTTGAATACTTCCATCAATCTTACTGATAAATATTCAATTGTGATGAATACACTTTGTCTTTTAGACAGTGGTCTATGGTGAAAAATACTGTCAGCAAACTGTCCCCAAACTGACTTGAATTCAAATAAGCAAGCTTTGTATTTTATGCTTTATTTTCTTCGGGTATTTTATACATAATGATAGAATTAATATTTAGGTTGTCTACGGAAAAGGGATTTCTCAAGAACCCAGAATAATACTATAAATGAAACCAGATGAGGAATATTTTACCAGCCTAAAAAAGTGAACTCTTTTTAACAAAACAGCCCCAAGTTACATATTTACAAGGGCTACACTGCAAATGAGCTCATCTACGCATCTTGGCCTTGTTGGTTGTTAGTTTGGATTACATGTTAGTCATTAGTTTTGATTATAAGAATTTAAAAAAAAAAAAACCGAATTACCTTTCATTAAAGAGAGTCTCAAAAGAAAAGACTGTTAAAAAGTATCTTCCCTTTTTTTTTTTTTTTTTTTTTTTTTGAGACAGAGTCTTGCTCTGTCCCCCAGGCTGAAGTGAAGTGGTGCGATCTCGGCTCCTGGGTTCAAACGATTCTCCTGCCTCAGCCTCCCAAGTAGCTGGGACTACGGGCGCACACCAACATGCCCAGCTAATTTTTGTATTTTTAGTAGAGACAGGATTTCAACTTGTTGGCCAGGCTGGTCTCAAAATCCTGACCTCGAGATTCACCCACCTTAGCCTACAGCACCCAGCCTTCCCTCCTTTTAAAACATCAACATTTGTAATGAACTGATTATATGAGAGGCCCACCATGTGTCATTTCATCTAAGTGTCATAAGGCATCCTTACTTGGCTGTAGTCCAGCAGCTTCCATATGAATACAATGGGTTTTACTATCCCATGGAACATAAATAGTAGATATAAACAATAAATCGATATGTGGGCTGGGCACGGTATCAGTAATTCCAGCAATTTTGAATGTCAAGGAGGGAGGACTGCTTGAGGCCAGGAGTTAGAAACCAGCCTAGGCAACACAGCGAGACCTTGTCTTTACAAAAATCTTTTAACAAATTAATTGAGTCAGTGGCTCATGCTTATACTCCCAACTACACAGGAGATCGAAGTGGGACGATCATTTGAGCCCTGGAGTTCGAGATTACAGTACTCCAGGCTGAGTGACAAGTAACAGATTGTCTCTATAAAAATAAATAGGTCATATAAGTATATAATATAGGTCATGTACACATATAAATATAGGTCATGTACATCAGATGCCCATGATCACTACACAATCCTAAGCTACCAGTATAGATGACATTCACTTCAATTCAACTCAATTTTTCTTGTAACATAGCAAATATCTTACTATAATGTTTCTTTCTTCATATGTTCTTTCTCTTAACTCCAATTATAATTTTTATGCTCAGTAGAATTGCATACTTAATGCATCTCTTTTTAAGGTGTGCCCCACAGATGCCTGGAAAGGTGGAATTTTAGAAGGTCTGTGAGGTCAAAATCATTTTACAATACTCTAAGGTGTTATGTGCCTTCTTCACTGAGTTGCCTTTTCCATTGACAGTGCAGAAACAATGATGGGAAAAACTGATGGCGATTTCGCACCAGTCAAGCAACAGCACCAGGCAGTAGGAGAGAAAAGGTGCAGTGTCACTTAAACCAAACACCGCATGTTCTCACTCATAGGTGGGAACTGAACAATGAGAACACATGGACACAGGAAGGGGAACATCACACTCTGCGAACTGTTGTGGGGTGGGGGGAGGGGGGAGGGATAGCATCGGGAGATATACCTAATGCTAAATGACGAGTTAATGGCTGCAGCACACCAGCATGGCACATGTATACATACGTAACTAACCTGCACATTGTGCACATGTACCCTAAAAACTTAAAGTATAATAATAATAAAGTTAAATTAAAAAAAAAAAGAAAGTCCTTGAGGGAGCAGGGAAAATGATTGTTTTAATAAATCATAACACTTGAATACGTAATGTGTCTCTAGGGCTTGGTGAAGCCTGAGGGAGCTCTGGAGGAACAAACATCTATGTAATTGTTTGAGTTTTGAGTTGAGCTGGCTGCTTGCTTTTCTACTGAACTCCTCTTAATTTAAAGAACGATAGACCAACTATCACTGCTAAGATTGGAGTATCTCTCACTTATTTATAAAAACTGAATGAGTCTTTTACTTCAAGGAAAATGACAAAATTTGAGCCCATGACAAAGTTAAAGTTTTCTAATTTTCATTAGTAATAAAATTGTAATTTTCATTTGTAATTTTCTAACGAAAATTAGAAAATTTTCAAAAGCTGGTATCTATCATCATGAGTTTGACAGTTTTTCAATGCTTTCAGATCCTCCTAATGAAATACATGGTAATATCAACAAATGTATTTTTGTAAATAATGTATAGGACAATGTATAAATATTTGAAAGAACTCATAACTCGATGAATCATTATTTTCAAATGACCAATGTATGAGGTACAAAATCATGCATATACAAAAAATTAATTTAGGACAGAAGTTCAGCCAATAAATTTTGATGTAAGAAAATAAAAAATGTTTATTTTCAAAACCCCATATCCAAATTGCATCTAAAATTTAAGATGACATCATTTGCCAATTTTTGTTATAGTATCAAATAATATACTCAGTTATTTGAAAAGATTTTTAAAATACTAATTTCCTTTTCAGCTATATGTACAACTGGATTTTTAAAAATATTTAATTAAAACAATGTTGTGCAACAGATTGAATATAGAAACATATATAACAATCCATATATTATAGACTAACAATAATTCAAAGAAAGCTAAAATGGCTATGCAAATGTAAGACAAATTTGATTTCAGAGTAAAAAATGTTACTCAGGGTAAAGAAAGTCATTTCATAACAAAAGGTATTGAAGAAACAAAAATACACAGCAATTTTAAACATTTGCGTACCTAATTACAGAGCTTCAAAATACATGAAGCAAAAACTGATAAAGCTGCAATGAGAAATAGACAGATTCACAATTTTAGTAGATGATTTAGATAAATCTCTCTCAATCACAGATCTGACAAGTGTTAAGAAAATTAGTAGGGATCACAAAGCCTTGAACAACACTGTCAACCAACTTGATCTAACTGACATTTATGGAACACTTCACCCAACAACACTAAAATATGTGTTATTTTCAAGTGGTCATGGAACATTTACCAAGATAGAGCATATTCTTGCCCATAAAGCAATTATCAAAACATTTTTTAAAGTTCAGATCCTTTAAAGCATAATCTCTAACCATGCAGATTCTTAGAAAATGTTCAGTATATGGCAACAAAATAGAAAACTTTCAAATAAATCATGGAACAAAAAAGTAATCACAAGGGAAAATAGAATGTAATTCAAGCTGCAGGAAAATGAAAACACAGCATATCAAAATTGAAGAGATGCAGCCAAAGCATTACTTAGAGGAAAATTGATAGCAGTAAATACCCACATTTAGAAAGAATAAAGGTCTTAAATCACTGATCTCAGCTTCAACTTTAAGAGACTAGAAAAAGAAGAACAAATGGAGCCCATAGTAAACAGAGGAAATAAATTAATAAGAGGTCAGAGCAGAAATCAATGAAATTGAAGAGAAACTAAACAATACAGAAATGTATGTAAAAGTAAATTGTATTTTTTTGAGAAGTTCAATAATATTGACATGTTAATAGGCAGATGGAACAAGTAAAATTTTTTTAAAAATATGAATATCAAGAATTTGAGCTGTGAAATTACTACTCATTTAAAGGATAATAAAGAAAGATAAGAATAATTTTAAGCCAACAAATTTGACAACTTAGATTAAAATTTATAATTTCTTGAAAGATACACACTATCAAAGCTCACTGAAGTAGAAGTAGATCATCTACATAAGCCTGTAAGTAGAAAAGAAATTCAATCCGTAATTAAAAACCTACTTGTAAGAAAATTCCAATTCCAGGTAGCTTCCCTGGTGAATTATTCCAAACATTTAGCAATGAAATATTAACAATTATACACAAACTCTTCTATGGTATTCCAGAGAAGAGAACATTTTTCAATTAATTTTGAGACCATTTTTACTCTGACAGGAACAACAAAGTCTTTATAAGAAAAGTCTACAGCCTATCATAACTCATAAAAATACCTGTAAAAAAACTAAACAACATTTTAACAAGTCAAATTCAACAATCCATAAAAAGAAAAAAACATCATTACAAATTAATATTATTTCAGAATATGAGTTTTTAACTTAGGGAAATTAGTTAAGCCCTCATATTCACAAAATATACAAACAAAAAATGGTCATGTCAATAGATGTAGAAACTTTTGAAAAAATTCCAAATTCATGTCAGATTAAAACACACACACACACACACACACACACACACACACACCTCAAAAAATTACAAACAGAAGGATACTTCCTCAAACTGATAAAGGGCATCTATGAAAAACCAACAAGCAATGTCATAACTATAATGAAAGCCAGAACACTTTCCACCTAAGCTCAGGAATAAAGGCAGAGATGTCTCACCATTTCTACTCAATCTTGTAAAATAGTTTCTTACCAATACATTTAAAGAAGAAAAAGAAATAAAAAAAATCCGATTGGAAAGCAAAAATTAAAAATCCTTTTATTTGTAGATAACAAAATCACCTAGGGAGAAAGTTCTAGGAAATCTATCAAAAAAGCTACTATATAACTAGCTTGTCTCTGTTATGTATATATTCGTATACACATACACACACCATAGACGATACAAATAACATTTTACATGTGTATTTAAGAGAAAATTTAATCTTTCAAATCATCTTCCCAGGTGTTATGGCATTTGATTTCTATTGCTACAAACATAGAGACATATAAACAACATAGTGATTTCCCAAAAAACTAGGAAAGTGACAGATTGAAATTCTCTTCTGAGATAAGATTCTACAGAAACCTTATCTATATTCTTTCCCTGACGGGCTATACGTCTGCACAACCTAGATTCTCCCTACACCGCCCCCCGAGCCAGATCAACACAGCCCTCAGACTTAATGTTCATCCTGAATTTAAACCTCTTCTTCAGAAATAAGTCTGATCTGAGAATGAAATGGAGTAAAGATTGGCTTACTCACCTAGGATATGATTAAAACTTCCATGATTGCCCATGTGCTAAGAAGACATTGGCCTGAATATTCACAACTTCCCTGTTAACTTTTAAAGCTTAAGCATTTCCTCTGTCATTTTTTTAAAACATGAAGTGCAATTTGAAGAATTTGATATTCTCAGATATGAGTTAATTTGTTTTGTTTTTAGAATACAGCTCTGCAAAATTCACCAAAGAAGTTTCTAGGTTTCTGGGATGACAGGATACAAGATGGGCAGTTCCTCTGATACACAAAGTATATATCACACATAGATGAGTTTCTTTGTGCCACGCACAGTTTTAGTCACTGAGGATGCAAAGATAAGACACTCTCCATTCTGGAGACGCTTAAGACAGGTGAGAAAACAGATGTGTGAGCACATCGTGATGATGCACTGTTGTCAACTCTGACAAAGGGGCACAGAAGGAAAGGGAAGGGAAGCAGGAAGAAGATTTTTCCTCGACAAGAGGGACATGAAAGACATGACTGTTGACACAAGGAAGGAATACATAGAATGGGGAGCCCTTGGAAGAATGGGCAATTTTATTTCGTTGCTTTGTTTTCAAAAGAGATAAAATTCCTGAATGACTTCAAATGACTGCTGTTTTCTAATATGATACTGGAAACCAGCATCCTTCTGTTAGCTGCCAGCTGGTGCATCCACACACCACACTCACTGCATTGCTAATAACTGTTCACAACCAACTCTTCCTCTGGAGAACTTCCTTGAGCCAAAGGAAGGAAGCCATTTATTGACAGACAGCAAAGTGGGTACAAAAGGTGAGGCCTGCTTGTCAGTACAGTTTGTGCCCCAGAACTCGCCATGGAAACAGACTGAAGTGAGTCTCCAGTAAAAACATCCTTCTGCTTAGCTCTTTACTCCAATTCTATTCCACTTCCTCTACTCCCCTCCTCCAGAGACCACTTTTCCAATAAATCACTTCAATAAGAAATTTCATCTCAAGCTCTGCCTCAAATGGATTTCAGCGAAAACACAAACTTCTTAATATATTAGTCAAGATGTGTAATAGTTAACCTATATCCATTCCGACACTATTTCTTCACATCTATACTTTGTATGCTTTTCATGTAAAACAATATACCATTTTACCAACTTCAATATAGACACACTACAGTTTTCTTATTTTTCTATTGCTTTTAAAACGACCGTTGTTACTCCAATTTAACTAAAAAACATTCCTTCTTTCCTCTCTAATAGTAGCAGTACTTTTCTTCCATTTGTAGCCCACTTCAGCAGCCTTAGCTCTGTGAACCTTTTTTTGGATTTTTTTCAAAAATGGTGACATTGTAAGAAGGAAAAACACATATCTTGTTTCTCTTTACTATTTTATTTTACAGCTGCTTCTAATAATTGCATCCATCTTGTAAGATGGAAAATGTTACATTTCTTGAACTCACTGAAATAAGTGCAAAAATCTAAAGTAATAGGACTATTATAATCACTACTGTATTCATAATGTAGCAACAGAAAATCAGTATCTAGTTCACCATAATCCTAGTAAAATGATATGCATTTTCTGAATAAACTTTACTGACTGATACTAACATGCATCATTCCTAAAGTTTTTTAATGAAATAACTATGAGGAGATAATTAAATATTTTACCTTCTATCTTTAAACATTAAAAGAATTGGAATATGACATTTACATGGTTTGGCTCTGTCCCCACGCAAATCTCATCTGGAACTGTAGCATCCATAATCTCCACATGTCATGGGAGGGACCGGTGAGAGGCAATTGAATCATGGGGTCAGTTACCCTCATGCTGTTCTCATGTTAGTGAGTGAGTTCTCATGAGATCTGATGGTTTTTTAAGAGGATTTTCCTCCACTTCGCTCATTCTTCTCCTTCCTGTCACCATATGAAGAAGGATGTGTTTGCTTCCCCTTCTGCCATGATTGTAAGTTTCCTGAGACCTCCTCAACCATGCTGAACTATGAGTCAATTAAACGTCTTTCCTTTATAAATTACCCACTCTCTGGTATGCCTTTATTAGCAGTGTGAGAAGGGACTAATACAGAACTTTTAACAGATTATAAACAAAAAACAAAATCTCTGAAGACAAATTGTGATTACACACATTTAGAGTTAATGATTAAGAAGTTTTATCTTTACCTCAAAAGAACAAAAGAGTTAAATTTAACTGCAAGCTGAAATAATATATGTCTTAAAAATAACATGCTTTTTTCCACCACTATTGTATCTCTTACCTGAAGTCGGAACCTGCTCTTCTACCATTTTCTGGAATCCCAGGATCTGGACACATGTCAGAGACCAATGCAACACCTCCTTGGCTCACTGTAATAGACAGAAACATTGTCAAAATGCTGTATAGTTATTGAGGAAATACCCAGATAAAAAATTTATTCTAGGCATTTTCAGTTCTTTAATGATAATGACTTAAAATGTGATCTCCAAAGGAATTAAGACACCTTAAATACATTCAAATAAGTGTTTATATTCTGATTGGTGAAAATCAAACATGTGTTTTCCAGTGAAAGGATGATAATCTTTGGTTTTATTTCTCTCATTTTTAAGATGTCAAAATTTAATAAAAAATCTCATTTGGTCCTTATGATTACTTTTATGCCAGGTCACAATTAACAGCATGATCAGAAAAACAGCATTATGAGAAAAACGCATACACTTAGAGAGAAGAAAGTCTTCACTTATTCCCATAGATGACAACAGAGATGATATTTACTAACTTCTATACAAAAGATACTTTAAATAACATTATGTATATTTTAAACATTGAAGTGCTTATCATTGAACTAAAACCCATAATGGTTTCTTTGTTCAAATGCACTGATTTATTTCTCGAATTTCATGGAAAAACTTTTCTCCTGTTGGGACTTGCACCATCACAGAATAATTTCTAAAGAACTCATTTGTTTATTGGATAGAGTAGCTCTCACTTCAACATTCATTTCATCCTGTATAATTTGTCTAATCAAACTAACACATTTCTTTTTTTTTCTCCCAGGAATTTGCTTAGCAGAGGGCTTGGGACCCAATTCAGTATAATGAGATGTGAGGGGAAGTCCACAGGAGTACTTCTGGGAAACATTACAGGATGCTAATAAAGTGCATATCTATTTTACTCTGAAAATTTCTGTGTCCAGGTTTCAAATGTAGAACTATTGCTGCCATTTTCCTATAATCCAAGGATGGAGACAACAGCATGTATGCAACAGAAAAGATGTGTCAAGAACCTGGACCTGCTACCTTATTGTTAAGGCAGAAAATCAACCAATTTAGGAGCAATGTCGCAATTCTGAACATTCTGTTGTATTTATTATAGCTGATTTACTATAGCGTAAATCCAATGAATAGCTGATTCTATTATTTGTAGCTGAAAGGTATACATATAAATATACATTTTCTCACAAATATTTTAAATAATTCCGTGAGAAGAAAATAATATGTCTGGGTATATGTGGAACTCGTGAAGCATTTGATTAAAATTACCATAAAAACAACAGTAATCATATCAAGTTTAGCTTAGTTTGTTTGTTTTGAGACAGGATCTCACTCTGTTGCCCAGGTGGGAGTGCAGTGGCACAATCATGGATCACTGCAGCCTCAACCTCCCAGGATCAAGCGATACTCCCGTCTCAGCCTCCCTAATAGCTGGTAACACAGGCTTGTGCCACCGTGCCCAGATAATTAAAAAAAAAATCTTTTCTAGAGATGGAGTCTCACTATGTTTCCCAGACTGGTCTCAAACTCCTGGCTCAAGTGACACTCGCACTGTGGCCTCCTAAAGTGTTGGGGTTACAGACATGTGCAACCACACCCAGTCAAAATTTATCTTTTACTACTAAATGAGAATAAATTTGGGTAACATAATCCTTCATTAAATACAAATTCTATTGAATATATTATGTGGTTTCATTCTTAGTAAGTACTTCACTATTCCAAACGGGTTAAGATATTTTTTAGGTATTTTTATTTCTTTTTTAAAATAAGTTTTTTTTAATAACATCTAAACATTATTTTGCTGCATGATGTGACAATTATATTGAATTCCAAAATTTTATTTTCTAAATGTTTAATTTTCTCAATATTATATCAAAATAATCCAGCAAGTTTGGTGATAGCATCAGTAGATAGTGAGACAGAAAGCTCCAGACCTGTATTTCCCTATGGAAACACCAAAGAAATGACTACCAGAAGATTAAAATAATTTTACAGGAGCGCTAAATGACAGTAAAAAAATCTGTAACAACCAAGCAAATGCCCAATGAAGAAAAAGATGTTCAAAATAGGACTATATTTCATGATGTCTTACTCTCCCTTGTTTCATACCATGACTTGCGTGGCACAGTGCAGTTGAGAGGAAGCGGCCCAGTGACCAGTTTCCTCTCTAGGTATGAAGAAGCAGAGAGAAAGTGGCTGGCAGCACGATGGTCGCTCTGTGGGCTGCCTGAGAGACTGAGCTCTGTCTTTCCTGACTTGCAGGTCAGATGAGGAAGGGCGGCATAATTGGGATCTCTGGCTAGCAGCCATGAAAGGCTGTGACAAGCACTGCTGTATAGAAAACTGCAGCAAGATTGCAAACCCATGGGTACACTGGGGTAAGGGATTCCAGGCAGAGGAATACAATAGAACACATATCTAAGGTCCCAATGAGAAGATGAGGTTAGATTCTTTGGAATATTAATATGTTTAAAAGCAGCTGGGGAAAAAAATAAAAACAAAAATACAGCAAAATGTACACACAAACCCAGACAGGACATGTACCCCCCAAAAACGTGAAAACACCTAAAGTCTTCAGTCCAGGTTGATCTCAACGTTCAGAGGCCCACTAATTAGTGAACATTTTCTACCGTGTTCTGCAAACATGGAGCACGGTAGTTAATTTTTTTCAAATGCTTATTTTTTTTTAACAAAAACCACAAGGCATACAAAGAAAGAGGGAAACATGGCCATTCAAAGGGTCGAAATAAATCTCTAGATACAGTCACTGAAGAAATATATGCATCAGACTTGCTAGACAATGAATTTACAACAACAATTATAGATATGAATTTAAATAAAGGAATATAAACTTTCCAAATTTGAGGAAAGACATAGATGTACAAATTCAAGGAGATTAATGAACACCTAGTAGGATAAACATCAAGAGATCCACAGCAAGACACATAATAATCAAACTGTTAGGAGCCAAAGAAAAAGAGAGAATCTTAAAAGCAGAAAGAGAAAAGCAAGTCCTCATAAACAAGGGATCCATAATAAGACTATCAACAGGTTTCTCCATAGACATTTCACAGGTTAGAAAGCAATGGATAGGCTGGGCACGGTGGCTCACACAACGTAATATATTCAATAGAATTTGTATTTAATTCCAACACTTTGGGAGGCTGAGGTGGGTGGATCACTTGACGTCAGGAATTCAAGACTGGCCTGGCCAACATAGTGAAACCCCATTTCTACTAAAAATATAAAAATCAGCCAGGCATGGTGGCAGGCACCTGTAATCCCAGCTACTTGGGAGGCTGAGACAGGAGAATAGCTTGAACCTGGGAGGCAGATGTTGCAGTGAGCTGAGACTGTGCCCCTGCATTCTAGCCTGGGCAACAGAGCAAGGCTCCAACTGAAGAAAAGAAGAAAAGAAAAGAAAAGAAAAGCAATGGATAATATATTTAATTGCTGAAAAAATGTCAGCTGAAAATTCTACATCTAGGAAAACCATCCTTCAAAAATGAAAGGGAAATTAAGACACTCCCAGATAATCAAAATAGAGTGAGTTTATTACCAATGTATGTTCCCTACAAGAAAGTCCTTCAAGTTGAAATGAAAGGGCACTACACAGTCACTTGAAGCCTCATGAAAAGAAAAGGGTCCCTAGTACAGGTAAATACATGAAAATATATATAAAAAAGTATTATACTAAGTTTGACTTAAAACCCCCATGTTCATTTCCTACAGTATTTAAAGATAAATGCATAAAATAATTATGCATTTACGCTAATAGTTACATTATATATAAAGATGTAATTTACAACAGCAATAGCATAAAGTAAGGGAGCAGACTTGTAAGGATTGAAGTTTTCGTATATGAATGAAGTAAACTGGTGTCAATTTAAGATACTGCCATCATTGTAGGATGTTATATGTTATCTCCATGGAAACCATAAAGAAAGTATCTATAGAATATGTAAAAAAGAAAAGAGAAGACAATCACAACGTGACACTACAAAAATATCAACTAAACATAGAGGATAACAGTAATGGGACAAAGGAGGGACAAAAATGCTGAAAGACATATGAAAATTGAATAACAACAAAATGGTAAAAGTCAGAGCTACCCTTTAAATAATTATTTTAAATATAAATTGATTTAACGCCCTGTTTTAGGCTGAATTATGTCCCTCCTCCCCGCAAAGGGTTACACCTTGAAGTTCTAAACACCAGTACCTCACAATTGACTGTATTTGGAGATAGAGACTTTAAAGAGGTAATTAACTTAAAGTGTCATCCTTAAGGTGAGCCCTAATCCAACATGACTGGTGCCCTTCTAAGAAGGGTAAGTTAGCAGAAGAATACATAAAGGAAAGTCCATGTGAAGACACAAGAAGAGAGTCATCCACAAGACAAGGAGAGAGCGCTTAGAAGAAACCAACCCTGCCCAAACCTTGATCTCAGGCTTCTACCCTCTAGAATTGTGGTAAAGTGAATTTCTGTTGTTTAAGCCACTCGGCGAGTAGCGTAGCACTTTTTTTATGGCAGCCCTCGAAAATGAATCACCCCAAACCAAAGACATAGGTTGGCAGGAGGCGTTGAATAGTAAGTTAATAAGTAACAGAATGCAACTGTATGTTGCCCACAAGAGACTCACTTTAGGCGTAAGGACACAAAGAGGTTAAAAACGAAGAGTAATCAAAGTCAGAGAGCCAGAAAGTAGAATGATGGTTTTGCCAGGGGCTGGGGCAAAGGGAAAGAGAAGAAGGAATATAAGGTGTTATTGTGTAAAGTACTTCAGCGGAGTATGATGAAAATTTACAGAGATGAATAGTGGTGATGGATGTACAATAGCATCAATATATTTAAAGCCACAGAAATGCATGGTTTTTACTTTTCTTTTCTTACTTTTTTTTCTTTTTTTGAGACAGAATCTTGTTCTGTTGCCCAGGCTGCAGTGCAGTGGCATAATCATGGCTCACTGCAGCCTTCGTCTTCCATGCTCCAGCAATCCTCCCAAATAGCTGCAACTACAGGTGCATGCCACCACTCCCAGCTAATGTTTTATTATTATTATTATTTTATTATTATTATTATTATTTTGTAGAAACAGGGTTTCACCATATTGCCCAGGCTGGTCTCAAACTCCTGGGCTCAAACAATTCTCCCACCTCGACGTCCCAAAGTGCTGGAATTACAGTAAGTTATCGTGTCCAACCAGAAGTGTATGCTTATAATGGTTAAAACCAGCAAGCCTGATGTTACTTCTGTCTTATGTCTCTCTCTCTCTTTGTGTGTGTGTGTATGTGTGTGTGTGTGTGTGTGTGTGTGTTTGAATAGGTCTGTATTTCTAACATTCTGATACTCTACTACTTTTCTCTTCAAGCCCATGTTTTCACAGTCTGCACTATGTGCTGGGGTACAGTTCTCAATGAGTAAGCAGTGGTCTACTACTAGCTCTCTGAAATTTATCTTGTAAATGCATTTAGCTTTAATAATTTCAAAATGTAATGCAGATTGTTACTTCTGCCACGTTTATTCTTTCTGCCATCACAGGCTGGATGTCTTCTATACTACCTCAAGCAAAATCATTATTGCTGTGGCAAATTAAAACAGCTTCATCAAGATGAACGACTATCATTGATGTTTGTCAGAAATAATAGACTCTAGCTTGGTAGTTAATGCACTTTTCCACAATACCCAAACTGGTTGAAAATACAACACACCAAGGCTTACAAAGGCCCACTTGCATGTCTCCTTTTCTATTTTTCTCACAAGGAATAGCAGTTAAAAGAAATGGCAGAAATTGGAGCTACCTGCCCAAGTTGGGCAAAAACACTCTGGATCTTTTTAAAGATAATGCCAAAGTCACTTACTAAAAAAAGGTTACTTAGTTGGAATTCTGTGAAGGCGCAAAATGATTTAGACAAGCCTGAATGGATTGCAGATGGTAGAAGATAACAAAAAGTGATTAGAGATTAAATGTAAAATACAGGCGATTTTCTGAAACAGAGGGAGTTGTTTCGTGTGATAAACAGTCAGAAAAAGTATGCTGACACACTGTATGTGCAAGGAAATGATAGCTCCATAAATCCCAACTATGTATTCCATCCACACCATGAGTCATTGATTCATCTAGAAATAAAAGCTCCAAGGTTGGAAAGAATCATGGAGATGAAACCACTTCAAGAGGAATCCTTAGTACCTCAGAGAAACATTTTCAAAGAGAGGAATTACTGGGCTTAATATCACTTTAACTCTAATTTTGTTGAATTATATCTTTTCAGATCTCATAGAACACATGACATAGATAGTAATAAATATGTTAAATGTAAGTCAAAACCCTGTAGTTAAAAATCAAAACTGAAAATATCAATAGATTGGTTCATTACACACCATTAATATTAAAGAAAGATATGTAATTATGCAAGTGGATGATCAGATATAAATTAGACAGTTTGTAAAAGAGTTTAAATGAATTTGATTTTAAAAGTATAAATTACATATATTTTCAATGACTTTTTCAAAGCATGTTGATTTATAATACCTCATTAGATCTGCACAAAACCTTGTGACTCTGCAGGGCAGTAAAGAAAATTCTTCTTCATCAAATTACCCTGCTGTTTGAGGACATGCCATGTAAGTATCAATTAAAACTCAACATGAATTTCTTTGTAGCAAACTATAGAAGTAGATCAGGTGCCATCATGAATAAAGCAAGTGTCTGAAAAGAAGTATAAGCAACGACATCTATGACAGAGATTAGAAACAAATCAATTAGTGGAGATAAGATCTATATGAGTGAATAATCAGAATTAATTACAAATGAAGCGCTAAAAATAATTACAATGATACAAAATTAAGCTTATGTGTTTGCTAGAAACTCTTAGTATCATTTACATATGTTTTTAAATGTAATCCTTATAATCAGGCTATGAATTGTTAATATTAAACCCATTTTATAAGAAAGAAAACTGAGGCCAGAGTTAAGAATGAGCTGACTCCAGGGCCGGGCGTGGGGGCTCATGCCTGTAATCCTAGCACTTTGGGAGGCCAAGGCAGGCAGATCACCTGAGGTGAGGAGTTCAAGACTAGACTGAACAACATGGAGAAACCCTGTCTCTACTAAAAATTAAAAAAATTAGCTGGGCGTGCTGGTGTGCATCTGTAATCCCAGCTACTCTGGAGGCTGAGGCAGGAGAATCGCTTGAACCCGGGAGGCGGAGTTTGCAGTAAGCTGAGATTGCACCACTGCACTCCAGCCTGGGTGACAGAACAAAACTCCACAAAAAAACAAAACAAAACAAAAAAAAAACCTTTCTGTACTCTGGCCATAATTACCTTATGAGACATTATGCGTTGAAGGGCTTTGTAAACTAAAGAGACACTTTTGGTTAATAAAAACTTATTTTTATTTCTTAAAAGTTGCCTTCCTTTCATAAAATTTAATTAATAATAAAAATACACTGAGCATCCAAAAGAAAAATGAAGAGGTGTTTTCATTTATATTCCCAACCAA
Source organism: Homo sapiens (assembly GCF_000001405.40). Classification (NCBI taxonomy): domain Eukaryota; kingdom Metazoa; phylum Chordata; class Mammalia; order Primates; family Hominidae; genus Homo; species Homo sapiens. Next base: position 3,624,206 of record NC_000008.11, read on the forward strand.
ACATACACATGGGAAGCCATATGGTTTCAACCACGAGTCTTTAGTCCAAACCATCTGTTAGCAAATTTCCTTCAGCTAAGAGGAAAGAGAAAGACTTTCCATGGAGAATATAATCCACCTTTAGAGAACAAGAGCCACAGATTGGCTTGAATGTTAAATCTCTATGTAAGGTGTCATTTTAAGTTAAACGTTGATTTATATTTGGAATAAATAAACCAATATAAGAGCCATTTAGATAAACTCACACTTTTTAGCACGAAGGCACTTACGATTGATTATTATTGTCTATTTTCATTGTTGGTACTTGTTTCTTCAAAGATGTACAGATGTATTTCAGTTGGATCAGTTTTGAGACAAACTGTAACCATTTAAGCCTTCAGAGAGGTGACGTATGTTTTTATCTGCATAACCATCAGGAAAGTGGTTATACAAAACATGTTCTCATTGAAATTTTTAGTAGCAGTCTCCCCAGTGTATTGATGAGCTTTGTTTGAGTGACAGCCCACTCTAGGATATGTGTTTGAGGGACACTCTAGACTTCAGACCTTCCTGCTTTACTCAGTTTGAAATATGTCAACAATGACAGCTTTTTACTTCAGCATTTTGTAGACTCAGTATTATCTCATTGAATTGAAAAGTAATAGCTCTATTTTAATAAATTTCTCCTCTTTGATTTGCAGGAGGTTTATATCTCAGCAAGAATGAAACTTTGTCATGCCACACCCTTCTTCAAAAACTAATAACTTGATTAGATGACAATTTGAACAATAAGAAAATGTTGCCATGGTAATCATTTCTTTCTTGCAGCCATAAGAGGATAATTTTGATTTACAGCATCCTACGAGACATTTCTACATGCATAACAGTTTTTTTTTTATTTTTTGCTGTTTTTACAGAATATTTGTACAGTCTCTAGCAGTAGCTGTTTTTTCTCTCATAGTAGTAAACAAATGTTTACAAGTTCTATATAAACAGGTAAAATAAGAATTGTTGACACTTGGATGATAAACTCTTATTATCGGAGCAACATTAGAAGCTTTAAATGAATAGTTCACATAGAAGTAAGTTGCTCAGCACATATTGCTTTTATACGTATTGTTTTAGATCTCATACTAATGGATCTCCAATTGGACGTGAAGAGCTTCCAACCCTGAGTGAGAGACAAGGGCTGCATTTTCCAAGTGTTTAACTTATTACATTGCCAGATTTTTTTGTCTGGCCCCTCTTTCCTCTCCCACTACATACCTTCATGTGCTGACTTTTAAAACACAAGGGGTTGATCACCTATTATCATAATTCATATGCCCCAATTTTACCCATGTTCTCTGGTCTCTAACTCAACTGCCATGGTCTTAAATCAAGCTCTCTTTTAGTTTATAGTAATTTATTTTTAAAAAATACATTTCAGCTTCTAATGCTATGTCCTAAAATATATAAATGATACACTAAAAAAAATAACTCTATTGTACATAAAAAATAAAACGATTTGGCATTCCTAAAATTCAGTCATTCAACATTATTCTTACTACTCCCTACAGAGATCCTATGATCTCAGTAGTTTTGAACACTGCAGATTCTTACAGTCTTTATTTATTTTTAACATCGCCTGCCCTAGGTTATTTTTCTATCAGAGGGAAAAACAAGTAGATTTTTCATAAGGGCTCAGATATTAACAATTATCTTTCCAACTGATATATCACGGTAGCAGTAAATGTTCAAAGAGAAAATGTTTTCCTTATAAAGCTTCAAATTAAGCCAAGATGTTTATTTACTATACACATAAAATAAAAAATAGGAATATTCTACTATAAAGTCAGTGTAAATGACCTTAACAAAATTAATGGCACTGAACATTTTATAAGAGCCTGGAGAATCGTCCTCATCACCATCTGTCTGATTCCACATGGTGCTCTGAGATGTTCACCGGAATGTATATTGGCAGCACCAAAGAGCGACGTCTCTATGCCTCCGGCTGGCTCCCGCAAATGCAGAGTGACTGTCACCTGGGGAGAGCACCGGCTTAGCTGGAGGACTTAGGGCCTGTCATTTCTGCTCTAGTCTCCTTCTGCACATTTAAGAACTCTAGACTTAAGACTCAGAAATAGTTTTGGGGGCTCACTCAAAAATATCTTACAGGATGCCCAATTATTCATGGTCTCCTCACAGTGAAAGTAGCATTTGACTAGGCCAGTTTATATTACTTTGCATAGAATCTGTAATTCAGGCCAGCAACTTAAAAATGTGGAAAGAAATGGGAAAAAGTCTTAAAGTCGTTATATATTTTAGAAACATATATAGTTATAGTTAAACATAATGTATTTAAATATTTATGTAAAATATAATAATTAAATCTTCAAGTTTTATTTGTCATTCCCTAGATTTAGAAAACCATGAGATATGATTTGAATGATGAGTCCCCACAGAAAGTTTCTTTTTGATTATAGTTCATTAGTGATTTCAGGATAAGTACATTCCAATACAGTAAATATGGATGATATAAGTATGTATTATGTAATTTATGGACATATTTTATTACTTTTATATATATTACCTATGTATTCAGAATAAGAGAATAGTGTCATTAAAACTTTAATACTATGTATACTAAATATAATTTATATATCAAAGTAAATATATACAATAAATAAGTGTATTTACATAAATACATAAATATAAGTATTAATAAATTAATATTTAATATTAAGGCTTTATTAAATATTAGTATATTATACAGTTTTAAATACACAGTTATACAGTGTTTAGTATTTGTTTACCATAGTACGATATATAAAAGGAAATAAGTTCAAGTATTTCCTCAGGAGTTTAGGCATTTTTAAAGAGCAGAAATATTAAATTATCTGGTTGAGAATTGCTGTGATAGTTTAACATTGTAATTAACCTATCAATAACTCCATTTGATGTAGTCACTCAAAAATTTAATTCTCTTAGAATATGTGCAGTGCAATTTCACCCTATATGCTATTCAGATATTTTGCAGACGCAAAATTGAGAGAACTGAGTTTAAGATTGTGATAAAAACCTTCTGTGCAGCTGTTCATGCCCATTTTGAAAATACCTAGCTGCAAGACACTTGGGAGAAGTAAAATTTAACACGTGATGCTATAATACGTGCGTTAAGACTTCAATTTCACAGATCATGAATTATTAAGTTATATATATCCTTAAAGAAATCACGGCATATCACCTCGAGTCCTGAAATCACAGACATTAACATGCACTGAGAAGACTATGTAGGTTATTTAAAGTCGTGCTATTATTTTTATTTATATAACCTCACCTGAATATATGAGACTACTTTTAGTATGTTCCTCATCATAGTACATTACTTACAGGTATCTGTAAATGTGGAAAAGGTAACAATCTAATATTATATTCTATAGTGTAAACTTTAATGTTTATAGGGAACTATGAGATAATAATAAAACAGGAAGGGTGATCACATATGCAATGTTTTATGGTAAGCACGTTTTTATGTATTACATAATTTAAGTGTCACAAAATCTTTAGGAGGGAATTATTACTTTGCTGAAGAAATGAGAAAAGTGAGGGTTGGAATTTCAGCCAGCACATCTTGTTTATTTAGCTGATAAATATATTAAGGTGTCTGATTTCAAAGCCCACATTGTTCTTTGTACATTAATTCACTGTTTTCACTTTTGACCTTTAGGAGAGCTTTAAGGAGATAATATTCATTCAGATACCACAAGTTGAAAAGGAAAATGAGAAGTACTTCACACTTCGCTAATATTTGAGCTTACCTTATATATCTAATATGAATTCCTATGTAAAAGATTCAAAAGGGCAATGTAATATAAAGCAGATTAAAAAACAGAACGTGGTGTAATTCTATTTTTTTAAATAAAAGAAACATAGAAAAAGACCGGCAGTGTTGCAGGATATACTGTCTTCACCTTTGTTGACGTGTAAACCCCCCTTTGGTTACTGAATCTCTACCATTGTAACAACGCGGTTGTATTTTTATTTTTAAAATTTGTGTTCTAATAATGCTCTACAATGAGAATAGTTCTTTCTTTAAAGAGAAAAACAATCACAAAAGCCCAGCAGAGGTTGCAGCCCATGCACACTTCTCTGGAACCATCCTGCCTGCCCACACCGGCCGAGGGTGACCTCACGCCCCTTCCTTGTTTACCAGAGCACAGGCCCGTAGTCATGGGGACTTGGCCCAAATAGGGCAAGGCTTCCATTAACCGTAAGTCATGAATTTGAATTATTTTAAAAAATCCTTAAGGATTACTTCTTGGAGAACTTTAGCTATGATGCACACAGTAATATGAAGCCCTTAGTGATGAAAGCCAGAGCTGGTTGGATGCCACTGGGCCACGGCAGCCACTGGGCATCATGGCAAGTGCAGGGGGAGGAAGAGGGAGTGTCTCAGAGGGAGGCAGCTCCCGCAGAGGGGAGGGCATGGGCATCCTCACAGGCGCCCCGAGAAGGGGCAGACTCACAGAAAGAAGTGTAGGCACCCTGCAGATCACGTCACAGCTCATGAGAGCCATACGGAAAAGTGACCAGCGCCTACAGCCAAATTATTAGTGGCTTCCTAGTTTTGGCACACGTGTCCGAGCCAAGAACTCTCATCTCTCTCTTTCTTAAGTGGTTCTAGTAACCCAAATAATCTAAGTTTTTTTAAAAAGATTATTCAAAACGAAGACAGGCAGGAAAAAATAAGAGAAGGAATAAAAAGAGTAGGAATGAGAAACAAAAGAAGAATAAAAGATAAAGAAGGGAAGGAGGATAGAGAAAAGGGAAAGAAAAAGATAAAATAGAATTCTAACCTTTGCTTCAAGGAATTCCAAGCCTTGGGGAACAGACAGTTATCGACACAAGAGGAGTGAGAAGTCGGGGGAAGAAGGGGTGTGCAGAGGAGACACCTCAGGCATGACGTGAGCAAAGACAGAAAGAACCCGGGATGTTCGCAGGACGCAGGGGAACTTGCTTGTAAAGGGGAACAGCTTCAACTGAGAAACAAGAAAATCCAGGTCAGTTACTGAGGCAAAGGTCAAACCATGAAGACCCTTTCTGAATAAGATGCTTAATGGAAAGCAGAGACTCTTACTTAATATTATTTTCTTTCACTGATGCATTCAGCTGACATTCAGATACAGCGTCCTCCATTATTTATATGTGTATTTAGTTACATATAGTTATTGTTGGAAATTTTATATATAAGGGCTTTCTCCCTTAAAATATCAACCATACAATATTATTGGGAAAATTTAATGACATGGAATACACAATACACCTAGCATTGCTCAATAAAGACAACGTTACAGCAAATATCAGCTCCTCATCTTTTTCTCCTGTAAACAGTTTAGACTAAATTATTTCAGTGTTTTCTTTCAACTTTAATATACCATGAGTCAATCTCTATGATTCCTATACTCAGGATTATTTTATCAAGGAATGTTATAATACACAAGTTTATAAGAGATTACGGAGATAGAAAAGACCACATGATCGGCACAGAAAGAATAAAGGTAAAACACTATATGCCAAAAGAAACACACACCTTTCATTTCAAAAAGACAGATTACTTGCACAGTATAAGGAAAGGCTAAAAGACATAACTTCGGTCCGTCAGAAACACAGGGTTTGATGTCTCCACAAACAAAACTAGTTGTACAGGAAATCGTGCCTTTTCACTTAGAAAAAAGTAGATTCAAAATTTTCTTGTCACAGTGTTTGTTTGTTGCCTACAGTCTTATTGAATTATATTTAAAAACTGGCAAAAAATGTTGACGTATATTTGAACAGGCCCCAGAGTTTTATTTGTAAAAAGAAAACATTTCAAATGATTACTTTTCTACATTAGAGATCAAAATCCCCATGGAAATAACACTTTAAAAGAGAAATAGAAAGTTAATTGTAGCCAGTTTTATTTAGTTATTCAACATCCAGTCAGTGAAATATTGACTGAATGCCTGGTACAGGCAGGCTCTCCGTCAGCTCCTGGGAGGGAGAAATTAATAGCTAGATGGGGGAGCATCAGATTTTGGATAGGGTCACAGTTGGACTCTGATGCAAAATGACATTTAAGCTGAAATGGAAAAGATGGGCAGGAATTACCTAAGGTAAGAGTGAATTTAAAAACCCTCTTGCCCAGTAAACAGCAGAAGCCAAGCCCTCAGGAAGGAACGAGACTGGAGTATTCAAAGATCCGAAAAAAGATGAATTGGCCCAAACCACTGAAACTTGAGAACAAGAAAGAAGAAAAGGAGAAAGCATGAAAGATGCTTAGATGAGAAGGTCCAATTTATATGTTAAACAGTTCATCGTCGCTACTCCTACAGACCCAGGCAAAGCCAATTAGAGGAAGAAGGAGAGGAGGATGTTGAAGTCATTCAGACAGAAGGGTGAAGTGTTGGGCTGGCATGCTGAGTGAGGGTTGAAGGGCAGCAGACAGATTTCATTGCGTTCGAGAAAAAATGTGAGAGAAATGTGTGAGTGGTTTGCTTCCAAGAATTGAGGGAAATGGAGTTGCCTCTCTGAAGCCACTGAGCCAACGGTGGTAGCACTCACCATGGTGGCTAAAGCAATAGAAGAACACATCACGATTTGGAAGGTCAAGAGTTCCATTGCTGATCTCAGATCCCCACAGGCAACCAAGAGGAAACCTCAGTTGGTCTGTTGGTTATATGCATGTGTGTCTGGATTAGAGAGCCGAGATCTCTTAGAGAAACATGGTATTCACTTTCTTCCAAGAGATGAGACTGAAAAGCATGGGAATCATTGATGTGACCTAGAATGGGACTCAGCACCATGTTGAACCCTTGAAAACGCAATCATGCTTCTTTGCTCGTGCCGCTCCTTCCACCCAAAATACTCTTCAGCCAGGTCTTCCTGTCACAGCCTGCTCAGCACACAGGTATCAGCTCAGATGTCATCTGCAAAATGGCCCTCCCTGTGCACCCTGGCTAAACCGGCAGGACTCCTTCCCCTTCTCTATCTACCTGCTTTATGTTGCTATGTGGACAGCACGTAACACGATCACAAACTGTATCCTTCGTCGACTCAGCACCCTTCCAACTATCATGTAGGCCCATGGTAGCAGCGGATTTTCTGTCTGGTTTATTGTTCTCATTCTGAGTCTGCACAGAGACTGTCACACAGTAAGAAAGCAACACGTGAGGTAGTCAGTGACTGGAGTAGCAAAGAAGCCAGCCCGTGGCTGAGCCTGGAGCGTTGTGAACATTTTGAGGTCAAGAATAGGCAGATAAAACAACACAGAGGCTGAGGAGCAGGCAGATAGGCCGGGAATAGCTTAGGGGATTCCAGATAGGAAAATGTTCCAAAATAGAAAGGTTTGCAAACAGTTTGAAATGACGCTAAGAAGCCAAATCGGTAGAAGACAGGGAAGGATCCATCGGTTTTGCAACACTGAAGATCACTGGTGATTTTAGCCAGTCCAGCTCAGGTGGAATAATGGAAGATTGAAGTCGTCAGACGGAGGGAAGAAATTTTACTGTTCGAGAAAAACTCTCTGAGAATAGCATTTGATTAAATAAAGCGCTCTCAAAGGATTTATCTTGAAGTAAACTGGGATTTCTCTGCCTTAGGCACTAACAGGTCAACAAGTGACTTGACATTCTTAATTTATCTTTAAAACGTGAATTCCCCCCTGGTCCAAAGATAACCTGACTTTATGCAGAGTAGACTGACGAAGCAAAACCCCCCAGATCACTGCCTCTTTGTATGTTAACAAATTTCAACATAGTAGCCTCAAGTTACACATTGTACACTTAGAAATTACTGATTCTCTAACCATAGGTTAACTCATCATTCAATCAGCATTATTTACATAAGAAAGTAATTGTTTTTTTCTCTTCAGATTTTGTTATTGTTGCTTTTATTACCAGAATAAAATTGAGCAAACATTTTCTTTAACATTCCTGCTAGAGAAAAGGGATTTATTTTAAAAAATTCAAAGAGCTATAGCAAAGGCAGAACTACTTTGGCAATAATTTTAGAAAATGCAATCATTTCTAGGGCTGGGCTTTAACCATTTGATAATGCATCTTAAATCAACAGTGTTGGTTGGAGGCATTCTTCCATCTCATAGGTAAAGCCCCGTTCGCCTTCTTGGACCTTCAGCCCTGACACCCCCCCATCCCCACTTAATCCTCAATGACTTATTGAATCAAAATTAAAGACTACCCCTGGGATATGTCCATGTTATAGGAGATTATTTTTTAATGAGAAAAACACCAAAAGTGCCTACATATATCTCATTAACATGTCATGATAAAACCTTAGATTGTGATGGGCGTTGAAGATGAGTATTGGTTAGAACAAGTGGGATGTCTGGCTTCTTTTTTAAAAAATTGCATAAAGATGATGATTCTGGATTTACTACCTAAATGTAATGCTAATTCTCCTGAAAGAATTCCTTTACATTTAAAAAATAATTAAATAACTGTCACCCTAATGATTCATCCATCAGTACTATTTAGGCACAGGAATGACTTCAGTTAAAAAGATGACCACACCAATGTCCTTGCCAAGTTTTGCTGCCCTTGTTTTGTTTTTGGCAGTCTCCATTTGCTTTCCTGTTTCAGGTGCAAAGACATCTGTGTCTATTGGTTCCCCTTCAGAGATTATGTTCCTGGTTAGTGATCCTGTTTTAAGAAGGAAGTTCTCTGAGAATGGCAGACAACAAAATGAAGCAAGGGGCTTCAAAATTATAATGATCATTTCAGAAGTATAAATTACACTTTAATAACACTTTGAAAAGTGGGTGCTCTCGCACCTGAGAGATATGTTTCCTCAGTGAGTGTCCTACTAACTGATACTTTTAGTGTTAGAGTCTGCCCTGTTGACTCCCAACACTAATTTATTAAATAGTTGCTGACGTCATTGTTTTAACATTTATTTCTCTAACTTTATGTTACCAAGAATTTATAGACAGTAAATCATTAAACATCATATATGATGAACACACCTTTTCTCACAGAACTCAAATAAAACATAACTTAAAATGTCTACATTGGATATAACATAAATTACTCTGACACTGAGAAGTACCACATAAAATTATGTGGAAAATGCATACTCAGAAGTGCATCGTGTCATACATAAGACTCAGAGGTGCACTGTGTCAAAGGTGTCTTTGGTCCTGCCATATTTTCTTGAGACTGACAAGTTTGCAAACTAGGCAAGACTTCACAGTGAATGGTTGCTACTCCCGGCAGGATAATGCAAATAATATCTAACATATGTATAATACAAGTCTGTTCCCAATTTAGAAGTCAAATACAGATGCAATGGCATCAGAATACAATGGACAATTGTATTAGTGGTGCACGCACGTCAAAAGTTCATTTCATTTTTAGCTACTTAAATTTTCATCTTAATTTGAAAGGATAAATTAATATTTCCTAATTTAAAAAATGTTAATGACATATTTTTCAATCTTAAGACATGAAAATAGTGTATATAAATCTGAAAACATTCAATGATCCTTCAATTAAAAATGGAAATGTCATGTAAACACTGATTTCCCTTCAGCAACCCCATAGGCATTGCTTTATAATCAGATATTACTTCTCAAGTATCCACTTGATGCATAGCTTGTAACCAGCTATGAAGTGTTAAATATCAGGCTGTGAACATCATAGACACAGAGAAGAAACCTGACGTATGTATTCAAAACTATTTAAAATGCATAGGGCATAAAATACATAAAATATATCATTCCATTTCAAGTGGATTCAGTATGAAACATGAAGATGAATATGCATGACCCTTATATAAAATGTCTGTAAATGTTTTATCTGGGATTACTGTCAGTGAAATAAAGGGCTGACTCAGCACATCTGGGTAGGGGGTGGTGGGGGGAGGGGGCCGTGCCCTGCCCGTTAGAAGTTTGGTTCTTGACCTGATGCTGGGAAGTAGCCTCTAAACCCTTGGAATGTCCTAGCTTATGAGAGTGTCTTCGTTTACCTGGGGACCTTAGGCCACAGCAGATAGTCTATGTGTTCACGTGATTAATGGTGGGGGCCTTTGGCCACTTGGTCCAGCCACATGGTATTGGAGCACCCCTCTGGTAGGACTGAAGACTAAGGTCAGCAATGTGGGTGGACAGCATGCCTGTGTGACACTCTGTGACAAACTCCAGTTAAACTTCTATAGGCACCGAGGCTCAGGAGAGCTTCTGTGGTCTGCAATCCTCTGTGCGTGGGGTCACACGTCATTCCTGGGAGAATTAATGCTGTCGGCACAACTCTACTGGGAGTGGACAACCGCAAGTTTGAACCTGCTGTCTCCCGGACTCTGCCCATGTACCTCTTCCCTTTTTTGCCTTTAAACTGTCTCTTTTCACTGTCACAAGCCATAGCCATGCACATAATGACCTTCCTGAGCTCTGTGCAGCCTTCTATCAAATTACTTAACTCGAGAGTGGTACTGGGGACACCTCAAACTGCACATCCAACAAATGAAATGAAAGGTGTGATTAGAACTGTGCTGCCTACTCAGCCTTTCTGGATTGAGCCATGATTAAGGCACACAGTTTGATTGCTTACCCATTAGTGAATACAGCCATGCATCATGTGTCCTGAGAAATGCTTCCTTAGGCGATTCTTGACGTTTTGCAAACATCACACAGTGCACTGTGCACTTGCCCAATCCTAGATAGTAGAGCCTGCTGGGCTATAGGGTACAGCCGCTTGCTCCTAGGCTACAAACTCACACCACATGTGACTGTACTGAATAATGCAGGCAACTCTAACACAATGGTAAGAAATTTGTGTATCTAAACCTAACTAAACATTGAAAAACTAAGGTAAAAACACTGTTTAATGATAAAAAAAAAAATGGGATGCCTATATAAGATACTTACTATAAACAGAGCTTGTGGGCCTTGACGTTGCTCTGGGTGACTCAGTAAGTGGACGGTGAGTGCGTGTGAAGGCCAAGGACATGGCTGTGCACTGCTGTAGAAACACTGTAGCCAGGTGCAGTGGCTCACGCCTGTAATCCCAGCACTTTCAGAATCCTAGGTGGGTGGATCATGAGGTCAGGTGTTCAAGACCAGCCCGGCCAAGATGGCAAAACCCCATCTCTACTAAAAATACAAAAATTAGCCAGGCAAAGTGGTGCACACCTGTAATCCCAGCTACTCGGGAGGCTGAGGCAGGAGAATCACTTGAACCCGGTTGAACCTGGGAGATGGAGCTTGCAGTGAGCCGAGAGTGCACCACTACACTCCAGCCTGGGCAATGGAGCAAGACTCCATCTCTTTTTTTTTTTTTTTTTTGAGACAGAAACTCGCTCTGTCACCCAGGCTGGAGTGCAGTGGCGCGATCTCAGCTCACTGCAAGCTACACATCCCAGGTTCACGCCATTCTCCTGCGTCAACCTCCTGAGTAGCTGGGACTACAGGCGCCAGCCACCATGCCTGGCTATTTTTTGTATTTTTTAGTAGAGACGGGGATTCACTGTGTTAGCCAGGATGGTCTCAATCTCCTGACCTCGTGATCTGCCCGCCTCGGCCTCCCGAAGTGCTGGGATTACAGGTATGAACCTCTGCGCCCAGCTGCTTCCATCTCAAAAAAAAAAAAAAAAAAAAAAGAAAGAAAGAAAGAAAAAAAAAATGAGACACTGCACACTTAGGTTACTCTACATTTGTAACACAAAATATTTTCTTCAGTAATAAATTAGCTTTAACTTCCTGTAAGCTGACTTAGTTTACTTTTTGGCTTTATAAACTTCTATTTAGCTTTTGGCTCTTTTGTAATAACACTTAGCTTGAAACACAAACACATTGAACAGCTGTACAAAAATATTTTCAGTCTTAATATCCTTACTCTATAAGCTTTTTCTATTTTATTATTTTTTTGTACTTTTTGAAGTTTTGTGTTAAGAACTAAGGCAGAAACACACACATTAGCCTAGGCCTACAACACAGGGTCAGAATAATCAACATGACTTCTTCCATCTTTGCATCTTGTCCCATTGGAAGGTCTTCAGGAGCAGTAACAGGCGTGGAACTGTCATTTTCTAGGACAACGATGCCTTCTTCTGGAATCCCTCCTGAAGGCCCTGCCTGAGGCTGTTGTACAGGCCGGGATTACAGGCATGCGCCACCACGCCTGGCTAATTTTTGGATTTTTAGTAGAGATGAGGGTTCTCCATGTTGGCTAGGCTGGTCTCAGACTCCTGACCTCAGGTGATCCGCCCGCCTCAGCCTCCCACAGTGGTAGGATTACAGGTGTGAGCCACCTCTCCTGTCCCTGGAAGTAAAATCTTTAGGAGTCTATCTAAGCCAGTCAAACCCCTTTTACTTAACCTACCATCTGTTCCTGAGGAATGTACATGTAACTTTATGCTGGTCATGAAACGGAATGTGAAAAACATCTTTTCAGGAAATGTTTTCTCCCACCCTACAAAACAAATCATGACGCAGAGATGCTCTTCTCCCTAGTCTTGATCCTGTGGAGAGGTGAAGCCTGGAGCCACGCTCTTGTGACCATCTTGGGAGCAGCTGGCTCAGCGAGGATGGCAGGGAGTAAGGCAGAGAGGTTCTCCTGACACTTCCACACTTTGAGTTTCATACGATCATATCTTTTCTTTATTTTTTGCTATATGAGTTTAAATGTCCCTTCCAAGACTCATGTTGAGATATATAGATTTTGTTGCCATTGTGAGGTAACTAGGTCATGAGTTCTCTGCCCTCATGAATGAATTAGTATCATTATTGAGATGATGGATTGCTATAAATGCGAATTTGTCTCTCTCTCTCTTTCTCTCTGCTTGTTGCCCATCTGCCTTCCACCATGGAATAACGATGCAGAAAGAAAACCCTCGCCAGAATCAGGATCCTCATGCTTGAACTTCCCAGACTCCAAAACTATAGAAAATAAATTTCCTTCCTTTATAAATTATCCCGTTTGTGCTATTCTGTTATAGCAACACAAAATTAACTAGGACAATTGTTTAACACAGTTTTTAAGCTGTGTGACATATTCTAACTTTTACTAGGTAATTTGTAATCAGAATAATCCTTACCTAAAAACAGGTTGTCTCACTTGCTAGTTGTGTATGCTTGGGGGAGTTTCATAAACAATCTATGTCTAAGATCCTTTATCTGTAGAATGTGGATTCTTATGAGTTTGGGCAACATAAAGACCTGAATTCAAATGTCTAACCACCTTATTAACTTAAATAAATTAAATAATGTATTTGAATCTATTTTCTAACATTTGATAAGGTAATATGACCTACCATAGCTTCAGAATTGTTCTTCTTTGACTATAATAAAATATACAAAACTACCTGACAAGAAGTATACAAGAAATAGTTTGCTTTTTTCCTATTTTTTAATACTTTAGTAAAATATTGACTACTATTTTGTTACCTAGTATATACTGGGTGCTACTGTTGGCACTATTAAAGTCTATGATTCAATCCCCCCAACAATCATATGAAACAGGATGACAACTGAATTACCTCTGGCATACAGGTGTTAAGTAGGGATATGGTTTGGCTGTGTCCCCACCCAAATCTCATCTTGAATTGTAGCTCCCATAATTCCCACATCTTGGGAGGGACCCAGTGGGAAGTAATTGAATCTTGGGGGCCAGTATTTCTTGTGCTGTTCCTATGGTAGTGAATAAGTCTCACAAGATCTGATGGTTTTCTACAGAGCAGTTCCCCTGCCCACACTCTCTTGATTGCCGCCATGTAAGACATGACTTTGGTTCTCCTTCACCTTCTGCCATGATTGTGAGGCCTCCTCAGTTATGTGGAACCATGAGTCCATTAAACCTATTTTTCATTATAAATTACGCAGTCTCAGGTATGTCCTTATAGGAGCATGGCTTTTCTAACCACACACAGCTATCAAATCAAGGAGCTCAGATTTAAACCCAAGCAGGTTGAGTCTTAAACGTAAGATCTCCTGCCCCTCACTGATGTTTCCTTCCAATATTTTACTTCAAACCCAGTTCAGCAAGTCTTGGAGTTCAGAACTGGGCTTTAAAACATTGGTAGAAAAAATTCTATAGATAAATAAATAACATGTACACCATAAGCAATTTACATAGAAAATGTGTCATCCATTTACAGTCAGTTTTTCCAAATTGTCTAAAACCCAGTGTTAGCTTCAGTGTGTCCCAAGAGGCTGTAGCCAGGTATCAGTTATTGGTTTGATGCTGAGAGAAAGGTCCTAGTTTTGCCCACCGCAACTGCACCCCTCCAAAAAAAAAAACACTGCCTCTGAAATTCTGAAACCTGGAGACGTGATGATAATGATGACAAGATTCCTAAATATATTTGGTAATTCAGGAGTAGCAGAGATTACAGAGGGGATGCTTGTCCCTGCCTGCAAAGTGCAATCTGGAAAGGGTCAGAATGTGCTACCTTTCTCCTGCCCAGTCATGTGGAGGAGCAGGTGAAACATGGGCAAGATGTACCTAGAAAGAACGGTTCTGTGGACCAGAAAGTCGACACATGGGCAAAAGGCTTGTGGTCAGAATACAGAATGTAGCTGTGAACTCAAAGGACCCACAGACCAAACATACCAAGAGAGAAACCAGCATGCATAGGTGACTCTGAGACTCCTCCCTCTCTCCTTCCTCACACCTTGTCTCCAGGAAGATACCCTGGAATATAAAGATAAAACTACAAGAAAAATGGGGTAGGGAAAAGTGAAGAAGGGACTCCGAATAGCCTGATATTTATTTTCTGTCTCTCAGCAGTATGGGAATTCAGAAATTATTTCAAATAAGAGAAAGGCAGTGTTGCATTCTTAACTCCCTGAAGTTGTGAGTGAATATTTGTCCCCAATATCCTTCTTTCATTTTCCACTTAGCATTACGTTCAGCCTACTCTCAACTTCCACAAATTGGAAAAATGCAAAGGACTTCATTCTAGCAAAAGATTTTCGCAGCTCTACTTTAAGCCTTGCAGTAAAGGCCGCTCAATTCAAGAGGACAGAGTAAGTCAGAAAGTAAAGACACAGGCCTTGAGGTCTCTCTGTTGGACTAGTCCATTGACAATGAAATTTCTATGAAATAGGTTGCTATTTGAATAATATACTTTATTATTACTATTTTTGCTTGGGGTGTTGTTTCATTAAGAGAATCAGGAAAGTTTGGAGTTTAAGAGGAAAAAGAGAGAATGAAAGTGAATGAGTGAGGGTTCATCAAAATTCCCAGAAATCATTTCACCAACTTATGCTGAAAAAACATCCTTGATAAATCAGTCTATGACCTGAATTGTCTAACTGAGCATGAAAATAAGGACAGAGCACTAAATGACAGTAAAAGACACAGATAACATAATAGGATGGATCAGAAGACCTGACTTCCTGCCTCAACCAGACCATCCAGAAGATATATTACCTAGTTTAAATCTTAAAATCAATTAATGATTCTAAATCCCAATTCCCTCATTTGAACACTGTATCAAAACATAAGTGGAATGATGTATGTAAACCCTAAGGCACTACGTAAACATCAACATCTTTGATTTCTCAATGATTTTTCTTTTGCATTTATTCACTAATATATACATCTTGTTATTCTTCATAATCTTCTAACTACTCATCCTATTTTGGTTCAGGGCAATGGACCTAAAGCAAAAATCTAATCATATTATTTATTTTATCAGCTGGAAAAATATGTGATATGTTCAGAGAATATTTGTTATCTTCTTTGTGTTTTGCTAACCCTAGTTAAAAGCCAGATAAGAAGAGAAAATATTTATCTTGTTCACTATTTTATGGCTAGCATCTAATAGTGGTTGGGATATAGTAGGTGCTCAATAAATGTTTGTCGGAGAAATGAATTAATGCATGCATTAATCTAATTGCATAAGAAGCAGCAACTTATTTTAAAAATTGAAGGCTCTCCCATGTAGAGGTCCTTTTTTCCACCTGTCCCACTTTTTCTTGCGTAAGACTTCGCTCTGAGAAAACTTAATGCTTGAAGCTGGTGCAGGGATATTGCAGTCATGTGGGGAGGCATCAATGTGCTGAGAATTGATTAAATAAATAAATAAAGATCAAATAAATTCACTGAGGTAATGAGCCTGTTTTGGAACATTTAGTCTCCAGGTTTCATGTTCACAACCAAGATTTTATGAGATAATTAAATATCCATTTGTAGTTTATTGAAGGCATTGTCAAATATTCAATTATATCTTCTCAAAACTATGGTACATTGTAAAGACCAGAGACCATCTTTCCTATGTCCTCGGACTCCTTCCTCAACTCTGGAAATAGTTGCTCAGTTTTGTCTAATCAGTTAATGGAAAATTGTGTAGGTTATCTCAGAAAAATGTGGAAGCATAAACTCATTTTTTTCCACTGGATTGGACAAGAGAAAATATATTTTCTCTGAACCACTACAAAATCAAAGGTGGTCTCTGAGACCTCAGTCGTCCTGCTACGTAAATTAGATATTCCTTTGATTGTCGCTACAATGTTTGATAAGAAAAAGGAGAGTGTGTGTCTATAAACCAGTTGTGTAGAAACCATGTTGTCCCTGAAAAACATTCATTGTACAGGAAGTGAGACATTCACAGCCCCTGTGTGGGGAAGAGACGGCCTCACAGAGGGATGGAAAGACCAGAGCAGGGCCTTAGTCCATGGAATCTTACCTCACTACTTTTTTTTTTATTGTTAATGATGTCAGTATCCAATATGTGGCATTAATCATGGTTTGCCAGCTTTGTCTTTATTTGTGAGGGAAAGCAAAAGGCGACAAAATCGTATGTTAAATAAGCTTTAGAAAATATACCATCATTTTAAATCCTCTATTTTGTGTTCCTTTTTTCCTTTTTTTTTTTTTTTTTTTTTTTGTGAATAATGTCCTCAAAAGTTGTAATGATTCAGGACTCTGAGAAAGCCTTAAGAAAGTTAGACTGAAGTTATTGCAGAAGGTGCTCAGACAGACCGGTTCTCTGAATCTGCACATGTAACATGCAATGGGTGATCACTTGACTGGGGTACATTGCCTTTTCCAGACTTTCCACTTGGCTGCTTCTCTGTGACTCATGGGTCCCTGAGCAAATCCAGGGGAGTAAGTGGCAGTGATTCCCAGCCTCCTGTGCAGGTGGAGAACGGGTGAGTCACTAGCAATGGAACCAACAATCCCCAAGTGGAGCCCTTCATTTGCCACCTTCGCTAACGTCAGACTGAGCAGATCTTAGAAGCAGAAATAAAAATTGGGTTCTTCTTATAACCCACATCACTCCTACTTTATCAGTAAGTGGTTTTTAGCTGAAAGAACAGGTAAACACTTAAAGTATAACTCGGTCTCTTGGGCAAACTTCATTATTTCAGCACACAGAAAGGGAGTGTATGAAAGTCAGAACATCCTTTCAGAAATCATGATTTATGCTTCTTATGTCTCAAGAGGTTATCACAAGATTTCTGAGAGAATACCAGCATTTATAGTCACGTAGGAATTTCAAATACAGCTTTTGCCCCAACAGAGGGGGCCAGGAGCTCAGAACAGGCTGCAGGCTAAATGGAAATGTTTGGGACCAGGATTCTCCCTGCTACCACTCGGTACCCAACCACTCACTACCTCCTGGTTCTCAAAAAACCATCTGTTGTGACCTTTGTCGATCTCTTCCCTCAAACCTACCATAACGTCCTATTATTGGTACAGCTAACTTCATATAAGGTTTCGCTACATAGGCAATGTGTGGAAACTAATTCTGATTAAGGTTAGCAAAAAACACAAGCACTGAGTGAATCCCTGACACAGATGGGGAGAGAGCAGCAATCCTAAGAGATTAGCAGCCCCAGAAGCTAGGTTTCCCCCTCACCACATCTGCAAACCTTGATCACCTGGAACTTCTACTTCGATGGATACACTGAGGGCAAAGGATACAGCAGATACAGCCTACAGCCACTCAAAATGGAAACTGGAAACTCACACAAATAGACAAAGATATGATACACAAATATATAATATTTATACATAATATATAATATATAGAAGATGATGTATATAAAAATATGTATTAAATGGTGAAACCCCCAAGAAGTCACATACACTCTTAAGGACTTGACTAATAGTAAATTCACTGTGAAAAAGAGATCAGAAAGAGTGAAAAGAACTTGCTCTTTCCCACCTTGGTGCTGTGGGGAGAAAGAAGAAATCACCGCAAAGAATTTATAACCTTAAGTCCACTTTCCCATGAGTTTATAACCTAAATTTATGATACCTATATGGCTCTAAAGACCTCTAAAATTCAAGAGATATTCCCAAGTAGTGACCCAAGCAAACACAAATCCTCTCTGGAGAAAAACTGCCTTTATCCAGGTCTTCAAGTGTCTCCAAAGATAAAGTTCCAAGGAACAGAAGTTTGCATAAAGGATGAAAAGCAATTCACAAACCAAACGAGAAAACCTGGCATCGTGAGTGGAAGTAGGCAGGTTAACGGACGGTCGATGGAGAGATTTCACAACTGGGCTTATAGGAAAGAGGATACAAAAGAAGTATATTTAACATATATCTATTAGTAAAAGAAAGACTAGAAAACACGAGTATGGAACAAGAAGGCAATAAACGCATTTCATGCAGAGTATGTATATGAATCCAGTAGAACCCCCAGAGATGAAATTATACATCCATATTTGTGTATGTGTATATCTATATATAGATTATACATATATATAGATTATACATACACACACATATATATATAATGTAACTTTCTGAAGATAAAACCACTAATAGTTAAAATAAAAAAATACAAATTAGGAAATTCAGGACACAGAATTAATAAATTAAAAAAAATAGATGTAAGAAATTTTTCAAAATGCAGCACAGAGGAGGAAAAAATCCTGTGCATGTGAGTGTCGACGGCACGGGAGAGGGAGAGAGACAGGCATGCAGCTTGTCAGGATTTCAAAAGACAATTTAACAGTCAGGGAAAAACCATGTGTAAAGATATTATAAGTGAGAGCCACATCCAGGAAGCTCAGGGAAAACCAATCAGGATAATGAAAATGGTGACCATATTGTGGTGAAACAGCAGAACAAAGACAAAGAGAAGATTCCAAAAGTAGCCAAAGAGAACTGGATGGAAAGGAGGGACGGGCAAAGAAAGAGGTGAAAAAAAATGAGAGAAAAAGCAGAATCACTGAAGAAATGGGGTTTACAAGCTGATGACAGACCTCCAGAGTCCCTGAGTGCCTTATCAGAAATGCCTCCTCTGGGCCGGACGCCGTGGCTCACGCCTGTAATCCTAGCACTTTGGGAGGCCGAGGTAGGCGGATCACAAGGTCAGGAGATCGAAACCATCCTGGCTAACACAGTGAAATCCAGTCTCTACTAAAAATACAAAAATTGGCCGGGCGTGGTGGCGGGCGCCTGTAGTCCCAACTACCCGGGCGGCTGAGGCAGGAGAATGGCGTGAACCCGGGAGGTGGAGCTTGCAGTGAGCCGAGATCGCGCCACTGCACCCCAGCCTGGGCGACAGCGTGAGACTCCGTCTCAAAAAAAAAAAAAAAAAAAAAAGGAAATGCCTCCTCTGCCTTTTCCAGCTACTTAATCACCTCCTAGAGTCATTGTTCACCCACCAGTAATACAGAGAAGGGGAGGAATCAAACCACAGGGTTAAGTTAATTAAGCTACCTATTATGTTAATTAGCTTAATGAATTAGTTAATACACTTGATTTGATTTGCTATCTGGGCAAGAGATGAACAAAACCTAAAGGGATTTGTGTATTTAGTTGGATGAAATGTGGTAGATAGGACAATTCTAACAGAAGAGAACACGGTGAATTCATCGCTGTTGTTTCAAAAACAACTGGAAACAAACATTTGAAACACAAGGAATCAAAGCTTCCAACTTTTATCTTTAAGAAAGTGCTCCAGGGCAGCCCTTCTACACCAGAAACATCACCATCACCTGGGAAGTTGTTATCAATGCAAATTTTCAAAATGTTAGGCCCCCAATGTAGACTTACTGAATCAGAAACTCTAGGGGCGGGGCTCAGAAATCTATTTCAATAAACTCCCCAGGTCGTTGAGGTGACACTAACAGTTGAGAACCATTGCTGTTAGAGAATTTAAACAACAACACTGCCTGTGATCAATTTTGCTGAAAGCATAGGTCTTAGAGGCAAATGGCCTTGTGTCATGTCTGGCTCTAAAATCAGCAGGTGCGAGTGAGACCCTGGAGAAGCCCTGGAAGCCTCGCATTTACAGTTTCCTCACCTTAAAATAGGCACGGTAGAAAGAAAAGAGAGCAACTCTATGTGCTCCTTGGACATCAAGGCTTTTGCTCTGATTAGCAAAAAGAAGATGGGGAAGATGATGAAAGAGGGTGAGAAAGCTAAAAATGGAAAGGTAGGAGATTGAATCTGAAGGATTGCAGAGCTGTGAAAGGAATGAACGGGATAAGAGATGGCTGTGCCAGACCCCTATTACCTTCAGTAAAGAGGGCAGCAGGTTCAAGTGGCTGAAGAAGAGACCCAGAGCCAGTGAATGAGTTACAGGGTTTATTTGTGGGGCCTGTCAGGGGGGTGCAGTGCCAGCAGACAGAATTGCAGAATCACAATCGCTTGTAGAAAGCGTGCAGTTTATACAGCATTTCCACTTAACATCCTCCCTCCAGGAACCCCGATGTGGTAACCTTCGTTTCCTAAGAGATTGCTGTTGGGTGCATCTGCCATGCAGTGATTAGACAAAACACTGGTAGAATTGCCCACATTTTCCCTGGAAATTCCAGGGTTACGGATCACTAAGGCTTTAAATGAAAAAAAAAAAAAAAAAAAAAAAAAGTCAATTGTTCTTTCAAACTCGCATTTCTTCCTTTCTGTCCTCTACTCCTCATCTGCCTCATGAAGATCCAGCAGCCTTCTTACCATCTTGAATTGCACAACTTCTGTCCTGAAGCCTGCTAAGGCCATGTTCAAAGCCAAATCAGGATGAGTAACATAAGATCAAATCACCATTTCACTCCCTTACTTCACTGAGTCCTGGGCCATGCAAGAAACCAATGCACAGTCCAAAGAAGACCTCTCTAGACCAACCATGCAGTAAGTGTTCATACACTTGTCTCAGGAAGCCATAACACAATGAACACAAATGTGTTCTCCCAGCAGCTGCAATTAAAACCTTCTGAGCAAAGACCTATCCTAATTGAGAAAAATGCTGTGATTAGCCAGATTGGGGTTGAAGCTCGGCTTCGGGTGTCTGGGTACCTTCTGGTCTCAGAGGAAGGGGAAAGACAGCAAACCTTAAAGCAGACATTTACTAACTGAAAATGGGACAGTGGAAGAAATGGGGAAGGGGAAGGAAGGGGAGGATGTGTGGTCAGAGGTGAAGCTGCAGGAGAGATCATGGGAAGTGTCAGTCTTCTGCAAGGGATCATGGGAAGAGTCAGCCTTCTGCAAGGGATCATGGGAAGAGTCGGCCTTCTGCATTTGTAGAAATCACAGGGAGCCACTGCTACAGCAGAGACTACGGCATTGCCTTTGAAAGAACTTTACTTGGCTCTGCAAGGAACATGGAAGCTGCTGGCATCTGGAGGCAAAAGTTAGGTTATTATAAGAAAAGGTGAGAAAAACAGAAAACATACCAAAACAAAGCTGTCTATTCAAATGACACTGGGCTACAAGAAGAATCACTCCATTGTTTAAATAATGTTTTTATATACATAGGGCAAATTACATATGAATACTATAATTTTCTAAATGTTTCCCCTTTAACTCTTGAATATTCTATTATCAACAGTATCATAAAATAATTAAATTTAGAAAAAAACTAGCTATAATTGTATTTATCGCAATTTCTGTTATAGCATTAACAAAAACTAGAAATATTCTAAATTCCCAACCAAAAAAAAAAAGATTAAGTGAATTGTGGCAGAGTTACAAAATAGAAAACTCTTCAGCCGAGAAAACCTTTTGAAGAATGCTTATTAACACTGAAAAATTCACAATATATAAAATGAAAAAGGTGAACAAAAATAGTGATACATTATTTTATCATATTTGAATAAAAATTACAGCACATGTACATAGAAAAAGAAACGTGATATGCTGAGATGTTAACTGTAATTTTTCTCAGTTGTAAAAGTATGAAATATACTAAATATACTAAAATATAGAAGATATTAAAACATTGAATATTTTTATATGTATTTTCCAACTTTTTTCTATGCATGCATTGCTTTGTAATAAGAAATTACCATACAATCTACTTTAACTCAAAATTAAGAACCTTGTTTGTAAATAAGGGAAAATCGCACCTATTATAATAATCATTTCCTTCTGAAATGTAAATAAAAATCTGGCGGTGTCATCTGTAGCATTCCAAGGGAAAGGACCATTTCACAATGCATGAGCTTGTTTCCCCTGATTCTCAGTAGGACCGCCCAAAGTAGCAGTCAGGGAACCACTAAAAATGAGTAACTTTCTTGGTTCCTGCCAAAGCCGTGCTCAGAGGGCCAAGACTTGCATTGTTTCACACCTCATTAGCCCTCCTTCTAAACAGCGCTTTCGACCTGGCTCCGGTGCCTCCTCTGAGGCTGGAAAGAACGTTTTCATGGATAACCACCAGGGGCATCCGTCCTTCCTCATTGTTCCAGCCCTGTCTTGCTTCCCCTGCCTCCTCCCACCCGCTGGCTGCTTGCCTCTCTGGCTGAATTTGGGTCACACGAGCCTGTTCCTCTAGTTTTGATGAGTAGGCTTAGGTAGGGCAGATACAAAAAAAATTTAAAACCTCAACAATGATGCATCATCCTCTCTATAACTATTCCCAAATTCAAGGGCCAGATACGCATTTTTGAAACATCTCAGCAGCTCTTTCCTGCCACTTCTGGTGCTTCTTGCGTGTCAGCTCAGGTTTTCTTTTGTGAAGTGGAGAGTCCAGCCCTTGTCATGGCAATGAAAATCCCAGGAAGGAATAAATCATAGGAATGTAAGCTTGTAGGGGTGGATGGTCCTCCGGTGCAACTCAAGTTCAAGAGGCACATGTGAAAACCTGCACTCTTTAAAAATATCTATGCTGTGAAACTTCAGCAAGGGATGAGTAACAACTCAGATAAAAGGAGACCAGGGTGGCAGAACCACCCAATGTCATGTGTGAGCCTGGGTTGTATCCTTGGCCAGGAGAGAGGTAAATATGGCAGAGAGAGAAATATCACGTAAAGTGAAATACAGCATAGAAAGAAATATAAAGAGAAATAGAACACAAAGAGAAAAACAGCATAAAGAGAAATACAGTACATAGAGAAATACAGCATAGAGAAAAATACAGCATAAAAAGAAATATAGCACAGAGAGAAGTATATCAGAGAAATATAGCATAAAGAGAAATATAGTATAGAGACAAATACAGCATAAAGAGAAATACGGCATAAAGAAAAACACAGCATGTTGGAACCACTGGCAACATTTGAAATGTGGTATGCTGCCATGTGATTAAAGCATTCAAACAAATTTTGTGAATTTGAAAGTTTTAGTACAGTTATTGTAAGACATTGATTTTCTTTGGAGAAAACAAACGTTAAAGTATTGATTGGAGGGAGACACAGAGAGTGAGACAGAGAGAAAGAGTGAGAGAAAGAGAGAGAGATATTGAAAAGTAAATATGGCAAATGTATAATGTTGGTGAATCTGAGAAGGCACTTTGTACCTTTTCTAACTATTCTTGTAACTGTTCTGTGTAAGTTTGGAATTACTTCAAAACAAATTACTCTGTTTGTTTTGTTTGTAAGAGACATGTGCCACTTCATAAAGCAGTGATGCTTGCTGTAAACAGCAGGATTTTTCGAGGAGGCAGAACAGATTCTTATTTCTTGTGCAGCTAATCAATGAACCAGATCTACCTGCATGGTTGGAGATGGAGGACAGATGGATGGATGTGTTCTAGCTGCAGGAAGGAGGTGTCTCCTAAAAACAGAACCTACCACTTTACTATGGCCCCAGATTAAGTTAGATACTTCTCTACCATATCTTAAAAATGTACATATGTGTATATTACTCTTCTCACCATATACTAGAGACATGATTTTACTTTTACTTTGCTATTCCCCAAATTATTTTCCTCTTTTCTCTAGAGTAATATATTTCAAATCTGCCCTACAAATTGCCTTGCTGAAATAATAGTTGTTGCTATATTGAACAATATTTTGGTCATGACAGAGAAATTTTCAAATTAAGACTTTGTGAGACTGACATGCTGCCTGCTGCACTAATGATGCAACTCAAATTGAGATTTTAATACTGGAGTACCTACATTTTCAGGGACAAGATGGCTCTAACACAGTGGAGTGACTGCTGAGATTTTGGACCTGTTGAAAAGTTGTTGTACGATTTACTTTTTCTTTGATTTCAGAGCACAGAAAATTGTTTTGGAACTTTGTTTTGATTTTAGAACAGATTTAATGACTTTCCCAAGAACGAGTTTCTCTAGAGCATAACAGGACAAACTGACCTTACTTTGAAACATACGGCTATACCAAATCCTATAAAAATGGTCTAAAAAGTGCCTGATCATTTACAGAAGTTACATGGCTCATGTCTGTGCACCTGAGACATAAAGTAAGCAGTATGCATTGTATTTAAAACCTATCTTTACGCGGCACCCCTCTCAGAACATGACATTTCTCTTTACTGTCTTATGTTATGTTGTTACCAAGTGTGACTCAGTTCAGCAGTTTCTGGTAGCTAGTGTTTTCTATTTAAATGACCAAGTGTAACAACAGCTATTTTTTTTTCTTTAACAGAACCCGTAATGTACCCAGCCCTGTGCATGGTGTTTGAGATTCTCTTTGCGTCCAGCTTTTAAGGTATGTACTGTCCAAGGTCACAGAGTTCATCAATGGAAGAACAAGATTTAAAGCCCAGGGTTTTTTCTGGTCTTTCTCTAGCACTCTGTCTTACTCAGTGATTCAGTAGCAATACTGTACCATTCAGTTTACAATGCAACCTTTATTTAGTCTGTGAAAACAACTTTTCGGCAATGGCAGGTTTGTACTGATACCATAAGTCTTCCGATATTTTCCCTGCTTTATATATTCTTCTGTAACATAAAACCAACCTGGAACTTAATATTACTATGTGAGAACCAAGAAAAAAACATGAAACTCTTACAAATCTACCTGCATTAAATTGACTGTTAGAAGAAATCTAAATGTCCGCTTTTACACTGATATTAAAATTCATCTGTATTAGTTCGTTTTCACACTGCTATAAATAACTGCCTGAGACTGGGTAATTTATCAAGAGGCTGAATTGACTCACAGTTCATCATGGCTGGGGAGGCCTCAGGAAATTTACAATCATGGTGGAAAGCAAAGGGGAAGCAAGGCACCTTCTTCACAAGGTGGCAGGAAGGAGAAGTGCTGTGCAAAGTGGGGAGAGCCTCTTATAAAACCAGTAGATCTTATGAGAACTTACTCACCATCATGAGAACAGCACGGAGAAACCACCCCCATGATTCCATTACCTCCACCTGGTCTCTGCCTTGACACATGAGGATTATCGGGATTATAATTCAAGATGAGATTTGAGTGGGGACACAAAGCCTAACCATAACATCATCCATAATATTAAAATCACTAATACTAAATTGTGGTCTTATTACAATGTAAGTATAAGTGGTCAGATTTTGCAATACCTTGCTAGATGTTTTCTCAATGTTTAACCTATGTACACATTTTTTTGAATACTATCTAGCCCAGAGCTTTGTGCATGGTATATGTAACTTAAAATTACATATTCTTATTTTTAAAAAACAATCTTAAATGCTAGGAGAGGTTAAAAAAATGATAAATGAGGCTGGGCCTGGTGGCTCATGCCTGGAATCCCAGCACTTTGGGAAGCCAAGGCGGGCAGACCACTTGAGGTCAAGAGTTTGAGACTAGCCTGGACAACATGGTGAAACCTTGTCTCTACTAAAAATACAAAACTTAGCCAGGCATGGTGGTGGGTGTCTGTAATCCCAGCTATTGGGGAGGCTGAGGTAGGAGAATTGCTTGAACCCAGAAGGCAGATTTGCAATGACCTGAGATTGCTTCATTGCACTCCAGCCTGGGTGACAGAGCAAGACTCTTTCTCAGAAAAAAAAAAGAAAAGTAAAGAAAAAAGAAAATGAATGATTGAGTTTCAAGTTGAGTTAGGAAGATGAGTATACCTTTACTTACATGTGTTACCATGCTTTAATTAGGGAAAATTATGACATGGCAAAAAGTCATACATACAAATAAATACTATGAATAGGAAAACTCATCGAAGAACTCATCATGCTCTAGGACTAAATTAAGCTTAGCTGGTGGGACCAGGGGCTACTGAGCCTTCATTCTCTACTCAGGCTCCTTTCCTTGAATCTGTTATGTTATTACAGATTGTATACTGCTAGTTATTCTGAGTACATATGATGCTTGCCATGAATGTACTGAGCTCCCGGCTGTGGATATTTAAGAGAACACTACCATCACGCTATGAGAACTGTTCGAAGTGGTAAATTATCAATGCTGGCTTCTCAAAGAAAGGGCATCAACGACTCAATTCGATGACTTCTTCAGCATTTCTAATGCAAAAATGTGATTTTTTTCTAAAGAGTTTCCACCCCTTTTTTCCTTTCTCATGGGTTCAAACACTGGTTATACCATCTCCAATCCTGACATCTCCCCTGTATGTAACTATGACTATGTAACATCTCTTCTGGAATATCGAACGTCTTCTCAGACTTCTGGTCTCTCCGACTCCGATCTTGCAAGCCTGCTTCGCCCACTATATTTCCCTATAGTAAACACCTTTATCTTTTAGTTCCTTAGACCAAAAACCTTGAAGTCAGCCTTGACTCTTTTCATCATACAGCTTACCCACCAGAATATCCCATGAGCTCCATATTCAAGATTCGTGCATACAATGGCCGTTTATCACCATCTGTCAGTATCTTGTCTTGATTACAGCAGTAGCTTTCTTGCCGGTCTTTGTACTTTCCCCTGGTCTCTGTTCCCTAGAATGTATTCTCAACACAGCTCACATGATCCTTTAAACACCTAAGACAGATCGTATCACCCCTTTGGTTGAAACACCTCAAAGGATTCCATTTCACCTTGAGTAAAAGCCCAAATCCTTACATTGATTCATAAAACCAGACAAGATCTAGTCCCCACCCCCACACACTTCACATAGGTCTTCTGTCTCCTCTTCATTCACAATATGGAAGCCATGGCCCTTCATGGAGTACCTCGAACTTGCTGAGCACGTAATGCCTCAGGGTCTGTGCACGTTCTGACTTCCCTTTCTAGAACACTCTTCCTCCACTTATCTGCATAGCTGGCCTCGGTTTCTCCAGGTGTCTCCTCCAATGTCATGGTATTAATGAGGTCTTGGCTGGCCACCACATCTAGAACACTAGAATAGCCCCTGCCCCCCTGCACTCATTGTCCTTCTCATCCACTCTATTTTACCTCAGAGCACTTAGCAGCAATAGCGTGCTTACTATCACTGTACTTAACACCATCAGAGCGCTTACCACCATCACAGTGCTTACCAGCAACAGCGTGCTTACTATCATCACTATACTTACTACCAACAGAGCGCCTACCACCATCAGAGCACCCACCACCATCGCACTTACCACCATCAGAGCACCCACCACCATCAGAGCACCCACCATCGCACTTACCACCATGAGCACACTTACCACCATCAGAATGCTTACTACCATCAGAGTGCTTACCATCATCAGAGCACCTACCACCATCAGTGGGCCTACCACCATCAGAGCGCCATCACCACCAGAGCGCCTACCAACATCATTACACATACCATCAGTGCGCTTACCACCATCAGAGCACTTACTACCATCACAGCACCCACCACCATCGCACTTACCCCCATCAGAGCGCTTACCACCATCAGAGCACCTACCACCATCAGCACGCTTACCATCAGAGCGCTTACCACCATCAGAGCGCTTACCACCATCAGAGCGCTTACCACCATCAGAACACCTACCACCTTCAGCGGGCCTACCACCATCAGAGCGCCATCACCACCAGAGCGCCTACCAACGTCATTGCACTTACCACCATCAGTGCGCTTACCACCATCAGCTTACCACTGTCAGCATGCTTAACCACCATCGGAGTGCTCACCACCATCAGCGTGCTTACCACCATCAGCATGCTTACCACCATCAGAGCGCTTAGCACCATCACAAATACGTTGACTTGTTTGTTTCTGTCTCCTTCCCAAACACAATGGATGCATTAGCTCATTCTCTTGCTGCTAATAAAGACATACCTGAGACTGGGTATTTTATAAAGGAAGCGGATTAATGGACTCACATTTCAGCATGGCTGGGGAGGCCTCACAATCTTGGCAGAATGCAAAGGAGAAGCAAAGGCATGTCGTACACGGTGACAGGCAAAAGAGCTCGCGCAAGGGAGCTCCCATTTATGGAACCATCAGATCTCGTGAGACTTATTCACTACCATAGGAACAGTATGGGGGAAACTGCCCATGTGATTCAATTATCTCCAAGTGACCCCGCCCCTAACAAGTGGGGATTATTACAGTTCAAGGTGAGATTTGGCTGGGAAAACAGCCCAAACATATACCTGGAATATAAAGTCCTGGGGGCAAGACTTTGTTTTGCTCACTACCGTATTGGCAGAACCTAGAACAGAGGGTGCACACAGTCAGCACTCAATACATATTTAATGAATGAATAAACGAATGAATAAATGAACACCACTAAAGACTGAAAGCCCCTTATTTTCTCCTGACTGCTTTCAAGTATAATTAGCATTGTCTGCACTATTAATGCCACTCAAATTATACTAGAAGCCAATAAAAGACACAAATGTTTTCTATCAGAAAACAGCACTCAGTAAAGACTCATTCATCAACGTCATGCTTCCAGCCTCCATGCATATGCTTTATTAATTGAAAGCCCTATAAATTCAAATTTTTTCAAGTTGCATATATTTTTAAATATATAAATATACAAATATATTTAAAATTGTAATTATTTCCAAACTTTTCTTATTTTTTACATTGTCTCATATAAATATCAAATAGATAAGTTAGGGATGGCTGGAAAAAAATTAAAGAAAACTAAAGTTATGGGGGTTCTTTTGTTGTTGTTGTTGTTTTGAGATTCACTTTTGTTGTCCGGGCTGTACTGCAGAGGCATGATCTCGGCTCATTGCAACCTCCGCCTCCTGGATTCAAACGATTGTCCTGCCTCAGCCTCCCCAGTAGCTGGGATTATAGGTGCCCAACACCACACCCGGCTATTTTTCATATTTTTAATAGAGATAGGGTTTCACCATGTTGGCCAAGCTGGTCTCGAACTCCTGACCTCAAGTAATCAGCGCACCTCAGCCTCCCAAAGTGCTGGGATTTCAGGTGTGAGCCACCCTGCCTGGCCAGTTATGGGGATTCTAAATCATTCCTCCTTTAGGCCACGAAGCCTGATAAGGGCCAGCTTTTTACAGCCCAAGTCCTGGCACTTGTGGAAGCCTCCTTTGAGGAATGAGGACTCTAGTGAAGGACCGGCCACATCGCATGGCTGTTACACAGTGGGTCCCCAAAATGACATATCCCTAACTCGTGACACAAGTTTAATGACCAATACATATTTGATAGATTTAAATATATATATTTATCTTCATTTACATTCCCAGAAATGACTGTCTTAATCCTGACAGCATCAGTATTAAAAATCAGCACTTGCTCTTGTGTCTGAAACTGACAAGTTTCATTTCACCCATGACAGCCTACTGTTGTCACATAGAAAATGTGATTTGAACTTGGATCATTGATGTGAAAAGCAAATGTCACTGCTTGGAGGGGCCAACTGTATAACATCCAATTAGGCAGAAATCACTGTAATAACGTCTCTTTTCTGTTAGAGTAGAGGGTGTTGTCAGGAAACAGTGTAACCACCCCTCATCTTCACAGGACACCCTGTGTGCACACACACATCACTGAAGACATCATTCTCAGCAGTGTTTTAATATTTACCTTCAGTTTGACTGAATTGTATGTAAACCTTGGTTTTCAGGGACTTATTTAAAATGACATTCTTAGCCAAAATTTAAGTACAATAGAAATACAAAGATTTATAAAATTATGTAATAATTCATACTAGAGTTTGAAAAGTTTGATGTCACATTGAAATCAGTTAGTTTTAGACTGCGTATAAATAGCAGAGATGTAAAGTACCCTTTGGTGTAGTCCACATGCCTGTGCACATAGGGAAAAGATAATGGTACAGGAAGAGGGTACACAGGAGCTTTTAAAAATCAAGAGGAGAGATACCTAAATCCACACTGTTAGGAGAACTTACAAATAAGAAATTGTCATGATTATACGGAGAGTTTAGGAGAAGAAAAAATTGTCTACATACTCAAAGACCTCCCATATCTTTTTCAAAGCAGGGCAGCCTTTGATTTGCTAGGTGTGAGAGCTCCATTTGTGATATGCTAAGTAAGACTGGCTGAGATTCGGGTCAGAGCCAGCACAGGGACACATTGGGCATCTCTGCAGGTGATGAAGTGCTCCAGGGCTTGAGCTGAACGGGGTAGGACTGGGTGCTCCCACTGGGTCTACCAGCTGCCTCAGGGCTACCATGGCGCCCAGGATCCATAGAACACATCACCTGCTCTACCCACACCCGGACCTGCCAGCTCTGCAACAGACTGGGAGACAGGAGCTGGGCTCCACACAGTTGAGCCAGGGAGCATCTCATCTGGCACTTCCTGCTTTTTGGAGCCTGATGCATCTCAAACTGAAAATGCCAGGTGTGAAGAAAGGGAGACAGCAATAACGCTCAAATTTTTAAATTTAATTAAAATATATCAGTTAAAGAGGGAAATAATTTAAAGAATGTTTTTTAACCAATTTATTTTCATTCAAAATATGAAAATACACATTAATTTTCCAAGCTTTAGCTATAGAGCTAAATCTCTTGCTTTTGACTTTGTTCCACAGGGAACACAGATTATTTTTTGGTCAAAACCAACTTTTAATGATCATCTAAAACGTCAAGGTTTTGGTTACTACAAAACAAGGCAAGAATTTAAGACCCATGAACATGAAGGCTATCTTTGTGCATGATCCTTCAATTTCTTAAAAATAATTCCCACATTGTTTACTGTCATCTTCCCTACAGCGAATTTGGCAGTGATTTTCATTTTTCACTATTACTCTAGTCACAGTAACTCTTTTAAGATAACATTTAATTAGTTTATAGCATATTTCATTACTCTACATAATTATAATGACAAACAATAGTATCAGAAATAGGTTTGGCATAAACACAGCCAGCTCAGGACCACTGCACAGTGCACCTGCTGGGAAACCCAACTGTGTAAGGTACCAAGAGAGAACCCCCACTGATGAATGCCCGTCCCACCAGGCCCCTCAGGCAGGGCTGCAAGCCAGCTGAGCCTACAAGATGACTCAATGGAGGTTGCGTTTTTTTTTTTTTTTTTTTTTTAATCTTCCACTGCTGTATATCCACCCATTCTAAATGATTTATAATTCAGCACAAACATGCTCATTGGGAAATTAGCTACGGCTGTAGGAGGCAGGAAAGGTAGAGTCTAATAGCAAGAAAGAAAGTCTTCCAATATTTTCAGGACTGATGCAAAGACTAGTTGACGGAAAACCTGTCAGACTTCATCTTTGGAAAGAATAGAACATGCAAGACCTTAATCCTTGTGATGCCAGGAATGAAGAGCAGGACTGGAGCCCTCCAGAGACTCTGATTCCTGTCCCACCTGGCTCAGAACCCCTTTCACTGAAAGGGTTGGTGAAATAAGTTTTATTCTGCAAAGATGGACATCTCTCTGGGGGAAATAACATGAGATATATTTCAAATAATGCCCAGCACCCCTGCTACACACAGATGCTACCAGAAGATCATGGGGTGCGCAGTGAACTCATTGGGGCGAAAGCCTCTTTAGGAAGGGCTGTATGTACAGCTCAAGTGAGAATGTTTCCTACCAGAGCTATTCAGAAGCCGCTGTTAGACATAACCATGTGAGGGACCCAGGTAAACAGGAAGGAAAGGAGAAAGTCAAACGTGAGTTTACTCAACACAGAAATACTCTCTCAGAAGCTTAGGGCGAAAGGTATAGCACTACTTTCCTAGAAAAGCTTTCCAGCGCGGCTGTTTATTTGATAGATGACACCTGCTTTCTCTTTTTTTTTCCTCTCAGTGCATCACCTATACACAGCATTTCTTATCTTTGTGAGAGTGAAAAGATGGTGTTTGGTGGACAGAAATCTGCATCTGAAGCATTCATTATGCAATAGTGCAGTCCTCAGTCTTCTAATCCGCAAAATAATGGGTAGATGCTCAAATGAGAACATGAGATGGGAGAGGAGTTTTCTTACGAAGCCCTTTACTCTCCTTTCTTCCTTGCTGGTGCAGCTGTCTTTCTATTACAAAGGCTTTAGGCCAGGCGTGGTGGCTCACGCCTGTAATCCCAGCACTTTGGGAGGCTGAGGCAGGCAGATCACAAGGTCAGCAGTCCGAGACCAGCCTGGCTAACATGGCGAAACCCCATCTCTACTAAAAATCCAAAAATTAGGCAGATGTGGTGGGCATCCCTGTAGTCCCAGCTATTCAGGAGGCTGAGGCAGATGAATAGCTTGTCCCTGGGTGGCAGAGGTGGCAGTGAGCCAAGATCACACCACTGCACTCCAGCCTGGGCAACAGAGCAAGACTCTGTCTAAAAAAAAAAAAAGCCTTTAAAAATCAGAGACTCACTTTGCAAGCCAATCAGTGAATTTTAGGACATGGGGATGTGACCCACTCATGGCCAATGAGACATACAGGAAAGTGTCTGCCAGGGCATTTTTGGGATAAACTTTTCTTCTGGAGAGAGTCCACTACCGAGTTGCTGCACTGGACATTGTCATTGGAGAATATGGCATCATCTGTCCCTAGCATTTGGCTACAAAAAAAAGTAAATTTACATCCTACAGGAAGATGCTGCAGGATCTATGTTTACATCATTTCATTATGCCTTGGGGTATAATCAACATACAAAAGCAGCAGCATTTCTATATGCCAACAGTGAACAATCTGAAAAGAAAAACCAGTCCCATTTACAATAGCTACAAATAAAATAAGATACCTAAGAATATACCTCACCAAGAAGTAAAAGATCTCTGCAATGAAACTATAAAACTGTATGGTATCAAAGGTCTCAGGCAGCAGGTGCAAACTAAGAAAATGACTTGGAACCAACCCAAATGCCCATCAATGATAGACTGGATAAAGAAAATGTGTCACATATACACGATGGAATACTATGCAGCCATAAAAAAGGGTGAGTTCATGTCCTTTGCAGGGACATGGATGATGCTGGAAACCATCATTCTCAGCAAACTAACTCAAGAACAAAAAACCAAACACTGCATATTCTCACTCATAAGTGGGTGTTGAACAATGAGAACACATGGACACAAGGAAGGGAACATCACACACCAGGGCCTGTCAGTGGGTAGGGGGCTAGGGGAGGGGTAGCATTAGGAGAAATACCTAATGTAGATGATGGGTTGATGGGCACAGCAAACCACCATGGCACGTGTATAACTATGTAACAAACATGCACATTCTGCACATGTACCCCAGAACTTGAAGTATAATAATAATAAAAGAGAAACTATAAACAAAAATCCTCTTGAAACTTACCCTGGAGCTTCTGTGCAAATTTTTCTTTTTCCTTTTTCTGATGGGGAGGGACCTTACATCATTGTTGATTAATGGTAAATACATCAAATATATTCTATAAAGAGAAGTTTGGGATTTGGAGAAGGAAAACTGGATTTCTCGTCTTGAAATACTCAGAGCATAACAGCGTCAGCCCAGAGGCATTCAGCACTGATTATCACAATGCTAGCAACATTATTATCATCAAATAAAAAACCAACTCAAAAACTTCAGCAGCTTATCTCTCTCAGAATGTAACTCCAGAAGATACAATTTTCTATGTAAACTGTATTCAAATATGACTCTCAATGTAAAATAAAAGATAAATACATGGAATAGGCATGGGAGTGAAATGTATTTTTTTCTTATCAATGATTGTATTTGTGTATAAACAATGGATTTAGCATATAGATTTACTTAAATCACTACTCAACTTTAAATACATCTTTGTAATAAGAATTACTCTTTTTATTTGTAAATCATCCCAATCTTAAAAGTAAATGTTAGTAATGTTTTGTTTTAATGAGCAAGCACATATATCTATAATATATATATTGTGTATATATATATATATTTAATTTAAAGCTTTCCTTGGTCGGGCTTGGTGTCTCATGCCTGTAATCCCAGCACTTTGGGAGGCCAAGGCAGGTGGATGACTTGAGGTCAGGAGTTTGAGACCAGCTTGGCCAACATGACAAAACCCCATCTCTACTAAAAATACAAAAATCAGTTGGGCGTGGTGGTGCGTGCCTGTAATCCCAGCTACTCAGGAGGCTGAGGCAGGGGAAACACTTGAACGCAGGAGGCTAAGGTTGCAGTGAGCCAAGATCGTGCCACTGAACTTCAGCCTGGGTGACAAAGAGAGACTCCACCTCAAAAAATAAAAATAAAAATAAAGTCTTCCAACAATTTTGTTTGAATTATGGTTAATAACATTGAAGGTTTTCTCCTAATTCCAGGGGATGTTTCGAATGCCTTCTGTTTTGCCATTTCAATTAATAATTCCATTCTTGACCTACCAAATAATGCATATTTAAAATATAACTTTCATATGCTAGGAATGACCTAATATTTGTAGTGTGTTCTTCTAAAATACTTCTAGGTCCTCAGAGCAGTGTCATTTAATTAACACGGCGCCATTGCATCTACTTGAAATTAGTTCTAATTTCCGAAATGGTAATCTAATTATTTCAGAACAATTTACATAGATAGCACATAAATCCTTAAAATAAAATGTAACTTGTTGCAGATTCATGGAATCATTTCTACGAAGCAAAATTGTATTCTACGGCAAGGCAAGGGAAGCCCAGGGAGGTGAAATTGTGTATATTTATTCCTATGAGAACATGATAACAAAGACTACCAAATTGCAGAGATGATCACCTTCTTGACAAATTGTGTAGTTATTGTTACAAAGAAACAAATTTTCATTTTGCACTTGCCAATCTAGTTTACTACCCACTGATGAAATTTTTCACTTAGACACAGGTAACGGGTCTCAGTGTTTAGAATCATTGTATAATTATCTGAGACACTACTTAGTTTTCAAATCTCCGAAACACAGAAGCAGATGCGTTTCACTTAGCCAAGGTCAAACTGTTATTCTCTTTGCCAGCTGTCCTGGGATGATCCTAGTTCTTTTTTTCGGGGGGTTATCATATTAGCAAAAATGATTCAACTGTGAATTGGTCCCTTTGGGATTTCCCACTAGAGGAGAAGGGTAGTGGTGATGTGGCAAAGCAGATAACAAGAAAATACTGCTGTTTCTGTTAACAATATGGGCTTTCCAAACAAGCTCAAATCAGTTCTACACTCCATAATATTAATTCCCCCAACACCCCTATGAAAAATACTGGTAAAGATCTTGAATTCCCAATACGCAATAGAACTGGGAAGTAAAACCATTCGGCATAAAATGACATTCCCAAATAGACTATACAATTTCAACTTCTTTAGAGAAATAATGCCATATAAATCTAAACTATGAAGATGAAATTTCCAAGAAAGAGCATATCTTCATTGTGTAATCTAAAAGAATTGCAATAATTTCAAACTTTTAAGAAGAAATCCAACTCACACACTGCTCGTTCTGAACAATACGTATCTAATCGCCAAGCTTCATTCTGTACTGTCCCTGTGTTCAGCAACACGCTATGAAGTATAAAATAGAAATAAGGTACCATCGTGATGTATGTGGCTGACATTTTATAGTTTGCAAAATACTTTCAACTACATTATTTCATTTGTAATGAGAGGCTATTATACTGCAGTGGTTTAGAGTGTGGGTTTGGGAGCCCGCAATTATCTACATTTGAAGCCTCTGCTATTTACTGTCTGTGGGATCTTGTATACATTCTTTGCCTATGTTTTTCCATGACCTTATCTGTGAAGCGGGATGGTAACTGTGTCCACCTTACAGGATTATTGACAGGACTGAAAGTATTAGCGATCTTCCCAGGGACCAGCACAGAAAAAGTAATCCACGTATGTTGGCATTTCTTATTGTTGTTTGATCATCCAAGCAAACACAGGAGTAAGAATTTATATGTAAACTAGGGCTCAGATCAAGTGGCTTTTTTTTTTTTTTTTTTTTTTTTTTTTTTTTTTTTTTTTTTTTTTTTTTTTTTTTTTGAAAAAAAACAAGGCCCTGCAGTCCAGGCAAGAGTGCAGTGGTGCAATCTCAGCTCACTGCACCCTCCACCTCCCAGGTTCAAGCGATTCTCCTACCTCAGCCTCCTGAGTAGCTGGGATTACAGGGTCCCTCCACCACACCTGGCTAATTTTTATATTTTTAGTAGAGACAGGGTTTCACCATGTTGGTCAGGGTGATGTCAAACTCCTGACCTCAAATGATCCACACACCTCGGCCTCTCAAAGTGCTGGAATCACAGGCGTGAGCCACCCCGCCCGACTGACTTTTTCTTAACTCATGAGGATTAGATCAGATTTGGAATTCAATTGTTCAGACTCTATGACAGATTTTTTGTATACACAGCTGCTCCCAATTCATAGAAGTTTCTTGAGTTCCTGCACACACAAGACTGACAGGTGTGAAGCAGAGGTGAGGGATTGGCAGAGGTGAGCGCCAGCACCCAGCGTCAACTGCTATTTGGTATGCGGATGCTTCCTGCCACCGCTAAGCCTTGAAATGCTCAGAGAAGGAGAAAACAAATGCTAGGATACAGCCGGGTTCCATCTGTTAAAGCAAACTAAATATAGCCTGAGGAGAACTCCGTACTTTCGTATATGACTCCTTGTGGATGAATTGCAACTAACTGAACAGGCAGACAAGATTGAGAACCTAATTTACGAGTATGCATCTGTAACAAGAGCTCAGCCTTGGCCAGTCCCAGCAGCCATACTTCAACCATTTATACCCTGCTGAGCGTTCAAACTGTGCTCAAACAAGGCAAATGCCAACCTGCAACCAATCCAGCTGTTTCTCCACCTCACTGCAGATTTCTGTATGTTACTTCCCTTTTTTTGTGTATAAATCTTCTTCCACCACGTGGCTGTGCTGAGGCTCTCTGAATCTGCTGTGATTCTAGGGGTTGCCTGACTTGCGAAATGTTCATTGCTCAATTAAACTGATTTTTTTTTCTTTTTTGAGACTGAGTCCCACTTTATCACCCAGGCTGCAGTGCGGTGGCACAATCTCGGCTCACGGAAACCTCCACCTCCCGGGTTCAAGTGATTCTCCCGCCTCAGCCTCCCAAGTAGTTGGCATTACAGGTATCCACCATCTCGCCCAGCTAATTTTTGTATTTTTAGTAGAGACGGGATTTCACCATGTTGGTCAGGCTAGTCTCGAACTCCTGACCTCAAGTGATTCACCCGCCCTGGCTTCCCAAAGTGCTGGGGTGACAGGCCTGAGCCACCATGACCGGCAAACTCCTTTAAATTTAATTCAGATGAAGTTTTTATCACACCAAACAAGCCACCCTTTAGATCGGTGTTGAAGGACGACACATAGGATTTGTACAGGAAGATGGAAGAAGACAGCAAATTTATAGCAAAGAGGAGTAAGATTGAGGGAAGAGAGAAAATGAGAACGGGACACCCAGAGGCTGCGGGAGAGAGGAGCTACGCAGACCTTGATGGAAGAAGCGGGGGATTTTTACTCGAAGTCGTAGAAAACATGAAAGGCAACTGCTCAGTAGTTGTGTAGAAACAGAGAAGGAGCATGCTTAAAGGGACATTAGTGGAACACCAGGATGTTTTATCTTCACAAAAGATTTAGGCTATAGAGATAGCTCACCAAGGAAAAGGTGTAAACATACAAAACTACCCTTGAATTAACAGTGGGTTTAGGAAAACACAGTATGTTCAACTATGCTCAATCCCAGATGGGAGCATTTTTATTTTCTTTCTCATTGTCACTAGTGAGTAAAATGAACTATAAATGTTGTAAACAGTTAAATGGTTTCTTAAAATCTCTCTCTCCCCACTCCTCCTCTCCTTTCCATCTCTCCCTAACTTAAATATATGAATGTCAAGACTCCATGCCACATTTTCTTTATCCAGTCTATTATTGATGGGCATTTGGGTTGGTTCCAAGTCTTGGTTATTGTAAATAGTGCTGCAATAAACATATGTGTGCATGTGTCTTTATAGTAGAATGACTTAAAATCCTTTTGGCTATATACCCAGTAATGGGATCGCTAGGTCAAATGGTGTTTCTGGTTCTACATCCTTGAAGAATCTCCACACTGTCTTCCAGAATGGTTGAATACACCATTTTTTATGCAGCCATGAAGAACAATCAGTTCATGTCCTTTGCAGGGA
This sequence comes from Homo sapiens, assembly GCF_000001405.40. Taxonomy (NCBI): domain Eukaryota; kingdom Metazoa; phylum Chordata; class Mammalia; order Primates; family Hominidae; genus Homo; species Homo sapiens. The sequence continues at coordinate 3,662,693 of NC_000008.11, forward strand.
CATGGATGAAGCTGGAAGCCATCATTCTCAGCAAACTGACACAGGAACAGAAAACCAAACCCCGCATGTTCTCACTCATAAGTGGGGTTGAACAATGAGAACACATGGACACAGGGAGGGGAACATCACACACCAGGGCCTGTCGGTGGGTAGGGGGAAAGAGGGGGGAGAGCATTAGGACAAATATGTAATGCATGAGAGGCTTAAAACCTAGATGATGGGTTGATAGGTGCAGCAAACCACCATGGCACATGTGTTCCTATGTAACAAACCTGCAGGTTCTGCACAAGTATCCCAGAACTTAAAGTAAAATAAATAAATAAATAAAGACTCCATGCCATTTGTCTGGCAGTGGGAATAAAGGAAAATGCAGATGTCAGCAAAATCAGAGCCCCACAGAACTGCCCGCAATGAAGACCTGAAGCAGTGGGGGCCTCAGGAGAGGCCGACAAAGAAAAGGTTAGGAAGAAAGGCTGGTGCATTTTCATTTCCAGCACAGAGAAAGCGTGAACAACAAAGATATTTTTAAACAAAGAGTTGAAGAGGCCGTTCTCCATGAAAGTGAGAGAGTGCTGATACTACTGACAGACAGGGGTGGGATGTGGGCAGTAGAATATATTTTTCAGAGGTAGGCATGGTGCGTTCTGTTTGGAACATGGCAAGTTTGACTTTATAAAGGGGCACTTCTGTAAATTTCCCTGACTGCTTTTAAGACATGTGGACAGGAAGGACTCAAGAGAACTGAGAGATTCAGACATCGATTTGATAGCCATAGGGACTGTGAAAGGAAAATGAACCTCAGGGCCCCAAAATCACTGAGCTACAGGGAAAAGTCAAGCTGGAAACTGCTTACGGCCAACCTGCCTCCAACTCTATTCAAAGCCACCCCTCTGCTCACTGAGATAAACCCATATCTGATTGCCTCCTTTGGAAAGACTAATCAGAAACTCAAAAGAATGCAATCATTTGCCTCTTTTCTACCTATGAACTGGAAACCCCTTCTCTGCTTCCAGCCGTTCTGCCCGCCTTTGCTTTGAGTTGTCCTGCCTTTCTGGACCGAACCAACGTTCACCTCACATATGCTGATTGATGTCTCATGTCTCCCTAAAATGTGTAAAGCCAAACTATACTCTGACCACCGGGGGCACGTGTTATCAGGATCTTCTGAGGTTGTGTCACAGGCGCAACCTCAACCTTGGATAAATAAACTTTCTAAATTAACTGAGTCATGTTTCAGATATTTGGGGTTCACAGAACCAAGGCTTTGTTCAAACATTACTAAATCTTATTGTAAATCTTCAGCCATTGGATGGCTTGAGTTAAAGTTCTTAATCTTAAATTTTGTTATTATTATTAAACTTTAAGTTCTAGGGTACATGTGCACAATGTGCACGTTTGTTACATATGTACACATGTGCCATGTTGGTTTGCTGCACCCATTGACTCGTCATTTAACATTAGGTATTTCCCCTAATACTATCCCTACCCTAGACCCCCACCCCACTACAGGCCCCTGTGTGTGATGTTCCCCCACTCTGTGTTCAAGTGTTCTCATTGTTCAATTCCCACCTATGAGAGAGAACATGCGGTGTTTGGTTTTCTGTCCTTGCAACTGTTTGCTCAGAATGATGTTTTCCAGCTTCATCTTAAAATTAAAATATTGGACTTCATACAATGAAGCTTTTTCTGCTCCTGGTTCACTTCAATAACCTGAATCAGTTCTCTTCCAAAACCATGTTATTCTGGGCAAAATGGAAATTGCTCAGAAAGCATAGGCAGCTCAATGTTAATCATGCATAGAATATGTAAAATATCCTCCAGGATTGTATGCTGATGGTGGGTCAAGAGCGTGAGTGTTTCCTCATGAGAGAAAAGCAAAGAGACTGAGGAGTTTTCCTCTGCCTTGTATTATTCTGTCTGTCTCCCCACCATTTCAAAGGCTCCGCCAAGATCAGGAGCATCTTTTCTCATTGCTTTTGCATCAAGAAGCTGAAAAGAGCTGGCCCATCATCTTATCGGGATGTTGAATAAAAATATCTAATGAAGATGTCCAGGTTAACATTGAAAATAAAGAGTACATCCTGACACTGGTAAAACTGTACACAAAGCTATCAAGAGAGTCAACATTAAAATAGCTAAAAGTTTAGCAGTAAAGCCAGACATCATAAACAATTCAGACAGAATTTCAACGTCACAAATTCCAAAAAATACATCACAATTTCTCAGGGTTTCATTTTGTCTCTGTGCGTCAAAGATTTCAATACATTCTTTAAAAGTGACTTTCCTATTTTATATGTATATTTGATATATATTATTAATGTAAAATAACATAATTATACATAAACTACCAATTTCTCTGATGTTTCCATGACATTCAAGAAACATCCATAACCTAAGAGGTTAACAATGCTTATAATAAGAAAGTTTCAGGTGATTAGGAATTTTGTATCATGAGCATTGACCAATGAGATAAAATTACTGGAACAATATTAGGTATTTGCATCTTTTACTGATATATTGTTTTGCTAAATAAAATATAATTTGTCAGCCAGGCACAGTGGCTCACATCTGTAATTCCTGTAATCCCAGCACTTTAGGAGGCTGAGGTGGGCGGATGGCCTGAGGTCAGGAGTTCGAGACCAGCCTGGCCCATACGGCAACACCCCATCTCTACTAAAATACAAAAATTAGCCAGGTGTGGTGGCATGCACCAGTAATACCAGCTACTCCGGAGGCTGAGGCACAAGAATTGCTTGAACCCGGGAGACGGAGGTTGCAGTGAGCCAAGATCACGCCACTGCACTCCAGCCTGGGCGACAGAGCGAGACTCCATCTCAAAGATATATATATTTGTCAGGAAAATAATTAGTATCTTGATTCCTTACTATCCCACTTAATATTAACCAAGTAATTGACTCAGTAGGGTTCTAAATAATCCCTGAGAGAAATATTGAAAAATTCCACTTAATGGGACAAACAGAAAGATAAAACTCAGGAAATGTGAAACCATCGCTACATATCTTATCTCAAATGAATTAAAGTCATTAAAATATAGGAAGGTGTTTATCCAAGGCAGTAGCTTGAAGCTGAGGCTATTTCTTAGAGCACCCCTAGGAATCTCTTGAATGATCAACCCAAGGCTTAGGCTCCTGCATTTATGACCTCAGTGTTGGTTTGCTTTTTTGTTGTTGTTTTGTTTTTTTGAGATGGAGTCGCACTCTGTCACCCAGGCTGGAGTGCAGTGGAGTGGCCTCAGCTCACTGCAACCTCCACCTGCCAGATTCAAGTGATTTTCCTGCCTTAGCCTCCTCCTGCCTCAGCCTCCACGGAGTAGGTGGGATTACAGGTGCCCAACACCACACCTGGCTAATTTTTGTATCTGTAGTAGAGACAGTGTTTCACCATGTTGGCCAGGCTGGTCTTGAACTTCTGACCTCAAGTGATCTACATGCCCTGGCCTCCCCAAATGCTGGGATTACAGGCATGAGCCACCACGCTTGGCTTGATGCTTTGTTTTTCTCATTGTTTTCCCCACCACACTGGTGAGACTTTCCATTTCTATTCCTCACAGGTCTTATCTTTTCTTTAGTCTATAGATTGTGAGAACCGATGTGAAGAATATGCTTCAAAAGCAACTTAAATGATATAAACGCCTGTCCGTTTAAAATGACATATTCAGTAGAGTTCAAGTAATTGATTAAAAATTTGAAAATATCTGATTTTAATGTATACTTGCTAAAATAATTAAGACAGAAATACTGAATCACGATTGATCCTTGCTGTTAACATGCACAGGGCCAGGATCTACACATCATCTATTCTTTCAACAAGCCTTTTTTGAAAGCTGCCTGATATGGTTTGGCTGTGTCCCCACCCAAATCTCATCTTGAATTGTAGCTCCCATAACTCCCATGTGTTGTGAGAGGGACCCAGAGGGAGATAATTGAATCATGGGGGCAGTTTCCCCCATACTGTTCTCATGGTAGTGAATAAGTCTCATGCAATCTGATGTCTTTATAAGGGGAAACCCCTTTGGCTTGGCTCTCATTCTGTCTTCTATGCCTCCATGTAAGATGTGCCTTTAGCCTTCCATCATGATTGTGAGGCCTCCTCAGCCATGTGGAACTGTGAGTCCATTAAATCTCTTTTTCTTTACAAATTACTCAGTCTCAGATAGGTCTTTATCAGCAGCATGAAAATGAACTATTACACCTGCTATGGTGCACATGATTTACCAGGTGTAAGAGATAGAGAAATAAAAGCATTGCAGTCTAATTGTAAGAGCTCGAATTTTAGCAGAAAGATAACTATGGCACAACCCTGAAGGCGCCAAGCTAGAAGTATGCTCAGATCCTTTCATTCCTTCATTCTCTAAATGATTATTGAGTGCTTGGTACAAGCAAGGCAATCTTGTAGGCATTAGGGATACACCAGTTTGGGAGTGAGGTAAAGGGGGGCTGTTCTTATGGAGCTCACATTCTAATGATAAGACAAATGTGCAAACATTTATAAACATTTACACATTATATAATCATAGTCCCTACATTATATTAATATATATTAATAGGTTTTATGATATGTCAGATTATAAGGGTTATGTGAAAAATAAGGAAAGATAAAAAGAGAGTGAAGGGGTGGCAGGTGTCCCCTTGTGTAGGATGTCATGGAGATGACATTTGAGAAAGGTCTCGGAGGAGTGAAAATTGAGGTGTGTGGAGATCTTGGGGAAGAGATTTTGGATAGCAGCCATTGGCAAGGCCTTGGGGCACTACAGCCCTGGCAAACAATGCAGGGCCAGGGTGGCTGGAGCCAACTAGGGGATGGGAGCTGTTGGGATGAGGTCAGGAAGGACGTGAGGACTAGGCTGAGAAAGTCCTTGGAGACAACATAAACACCTGAGATGATTTTGTGAGTGACAGAGGAGTCCTCCTCCTTATTTGGGTTGCTCTGGAAACCCAGGCCTTGGGGTGAAGAGCAGTTGTCCACGCATGGTGATGACTGAATTGAGCTGTTAGAGGATTAGTAGTTACTCATTAGAGAAAGTAAACAAGAGTTCTGAAAAGCAACCTTCAGGGAGCAAGTGTCTTGCGGAAAATCATGGAAACAGAAGACCCAGGGCAAATTCATGAACAGCAGGCATCCTGGAGTGTCTGTATGTTTAATCGTGAAATAGCAGTGAGTAGAAGCAGCCAAGGCCAGATCATCAAAGACTCTGTATGTTGCGGAGACACCACTGGTGCCAATTCACCCACCCATTTCCTCCCTGCGTCTTTCTAACAGAGCCCCAATCCCGATCAATATGAGTGTCTGTGCGCCTCAGAGCAAGCTGGCTTCTCCCCCAGTCCCCATCCCAAGGATGAGCCTTGCTCAGTCTCAATCAGGTGCAGTCATTCTACCCCTGGGCTAGAAGGCAATGGGGAGAGAGCGTTGAACACAATTTGGACAGATAACGAATCTACAGGGGTGTGCAGAGGGGCTGACCTCTGAGATATGTTTCCCAGCTAATAAGGGAACATAGTAAAACTGACATCCGTCCACCACTGCTGGATCTCATTCTGGGTGATGAGTTCAGCCTGCGAAGATGGCCCTGTGTAAAGGAAGATATGAAGTGAGAGGATTAGGAAGGAGGGGCATGTCCCACACAGGCCCTGGGCTGTGCATGACGGATGGAGTCCCCAGACCCAAATTCTGTTTTAAATATGTATTTTTAAGATAACTCAGGTAGCTACAGTGTAAGCTGAAGAGATGAGGGTTTATTCAGGTGGAGAGATGATAGAGTTTGGGGGATATTACAAGGAGAACGGAGAGAGTTTGTCTGACTGGGCATTGTACACCTTGGTCCTATTCCTTACCACAGGTAATATGCAAAGGGGATCAAGCCTGGTCCTTACTACAGAAAATATGCAAAAGAGACGAAGCCCTGGGGAGAAGAGACGATCCTGAACAGAGTGTGCAATATAGAAGCTCAGTCTGAGGTGTCCAGAGATCAACCAGGAGTCGAAGTCTAGACACAGAGATGGATGAGTTGGGAGCTCAGGAGGGGCCAACGCTAGGGAAGACCCATACTGAACATCCTGTATCTACTCTAGTTTTGGCTCATTTTGTTGCCTTAGACAATTTGCTGTTAAGTAAAGTTATAGAATGAACACAATTATAGAATTATATTGCTCTGGTGGCTATCAGCCTTAATGCGGGTGGCAAAGCAACGCCTACATCCCCTCAGCCATAGCTCTTTGAGAGGCGTGACAGAAACAGGAAAGATGGGGAGAAATCATTGAGCAACCAGGTTAGCCTGTGCTTTCACTGGAAATCTTTCATTAAACAGACGTTATACCTTTAGAGTTTACCTTAACCTGTCTTCAAAACTAAGGAACGACCCCACTAGAAATATGATTGTGGAAGCCATTAACGTACAGAAAAATTAGTTAATTATCCCTCAAGGGCAGAATGGTTAAAACAAGGAAAGCACGTACAAATGAGCATAAAGTTATGTTTTAATTGAAAGGCTAGGAGCATAAATTCAAAGACACTAAATAAGGTAGCACACTGCATCAATCTGAGTGAAAATGTCTCATCTGTGTTTTCTCATCTGTCATTTTGTCATTGTGTTGCCTGTTTGTGTGAGCAATTATTTCCTTCTCAGGCCCATGCTTCAGAGCCTGCCTTGGGCGGGAGGGTCCAAGGCCTTGAGCTTCTTGGGCTGGCCAGTCTAGGGGTTCGTGTTTACACTGTAGTGAGGGACTCCACTGATGGTCCTGTTCATTCATTCATTCAACATCAGTAATTAGATATCCTCTACTAAATATTGAGAATACAAGTCCCAAGTTAATGAATCTTGAATGGAGAAACCTCAGGTTTTCAGAAGGAGGGGAATGTAGCCTGAATGAGACTCTTCCGGACAGAAAATCACGACAGGGAAGACAAGCTGGGTATTCGCCCGCTGGGTACATCATTTATTAACTCAACAGATGTTAGCTCAGCACCTATTCTGTGTGAGGCGTTATGCTAGGAACTGGGTACAAAGAGGAAGGCCAGGAGGACAGGGGCCCTGACCTGGCTAAGCCTGAGGCTACACACACTCATCAGAGCCCTCAGGGATCCACGTGCAGCCCTAACAGCCAATTCAGAGAACAGGACACAGTGGGTGATGTCAGCCATGAACAGGAGGGGCCCAGGTGATGATCAAGCACCTCCTTCCTTCTTCTTTCTTAACATTTGAGGAAATGAAGATGTTTGAGACTTTAAATAACACACCCAAGGATATAATTTATACCTTATTATTTTAAGCTATCAGGTGCAATTGCATACATTTCTAAATAAGTTATGTAAAAGGCAGTGAAATGTTCCTAGGGTCTCACAATTTGTGATGGTTAATACTGAGTGTCAACTTGATTGGATTAAAGGATGCAAAGTGTTGATCCTGGGTGTGTCTCTGAGGGTGATGCCAAAGGAGATTAATATTTGAGTCAATGGATCAGGGAAGGCAGACTTACACTTAATCTGGGTGGGTACCCTCTAATCAGCTGCCAGAGAATACAAAGCAGGCGGAAAAATATGAAAAGGTCAGACTGGCCTAGCCTCCCAGCCTACATCCTTCTCCTGTGCCGGATGCTTCCTGCCCTCCAGCATCAGACTCCAAGTTCTTCTGTTTTGGGACTCGGGCTGGCTCTCCTTGCTCCTCAGTTTGCAGATGGCCTATTGTCGGACCTTGTGAACATGTGAGTTAAAACCTAATAAACTCCCCTTTATATATATATAAATATCCCATATATATGTATCCCATATATATATATCCCGTATATATATCCCATATATATATATATATCCTATATACATATATCCCATATACATATATCCCATATATATATGCGATATATATATATGGGATATATATGGGGATATATATATTGCACATATATATGGGGATATATATATGGGATATTTATATATGAAGGATATATACATGGGATATATGTACATGGTTATATATGTATGGGATATATGTATATGGGATATATATGTATATGGGATATACATGTATGGGATGTATGTATATGGGATATATATGTATGGGATATATAAGTATACGGGATATACATGTATATGGGATATATATGTATATGGGATATATGTATAGGGGATATATATGTATATGGGATATATATGTATGGGATATATATGTATATGGGATATATATGTATGTGATATATATGTATATGGGATATATATGTATATGGGATATATATGTATGGGTATATGTGTATGGGATATATGTATATGGGATATATATGTATATGGGATATATATGTATGGGATATATATGTATATGGGATATATGCATATGGGATATATATGTATATAGGATATATATGTATATGGGATATATACATATAAGGGATATATATGTATGGGATATATATGTATATGGGATATATATGTATGGGATATATGTATATGGGATATATATGTATATGAGATATATATGTATATGGTATATATAGGTATATGGGATCTATGTATAGGGGATGTATGTATATGGGATATATATGTGTGGGATATATATATGTATATATATATATATGATGTGCCTGGACACATCACAGGCACCTGATAAATGCTAACATTAGTTATGTGGAAATTATTACATGCTGTATTGTATTTAATTTCATAAATTGCCTGAAAACTTTTATATCTCAGAAGCATATAGATCTTAAATACATCCTAACAGTACTATATATATAGTCACATATAATCATATATATAATCATACACATATAATCATATATATACTCATATATATGATCATATATATATATATATGATCATATATATGATCATATATATATATATATGATCATATATATGATCATATATATATATATATATATATATATATATATATGATTAGTTCTATCTCTTTAGATAACCCTGACTAATATACCATCTATTTAGGCTTCACAAGCCTCTGCCTTGCTTTAAGGTGCTGTGAGCTCCTTGGGAGCCTCTTCATCTTATTCGTGTTGCATGCCCAGCACCGGCAGGCTGCCTGGGACACAAAACAGGCCCCTTGCTCAGGTGCTGTTAAATTGGAAAGAGCAGCCCTGGGCTTGGAGCCTAGAACTTCAGTTCTTGAGCAATGACTTGAAAGCAGGCCCACTCACCTGTCACCACCTCTATCACTGGGAGATGGGGCACCCACCCTCATTTCCTCTGTCCTGTGTCGTTAGCCTGCTGGTCATTTTTGAAAGAAAGTTTTCGACCACACATTTTTAGTTTCGATATGTTGCAATACTTAAACAAAAATAATTGAGAACACAAAAGACAGTAGGTTTTATTTAAATGAAGAAGCAAATTAACAAAGTCAACATCTTATCTTACTTTCAAAGTGTATCATTCTAAAAGGTTGATGCAGCGTTCAAGGTTAGGTGCTGTCTACTTCCTCTTGCAAACTTGTTTTCTAGTGTGAAATCTCTTTATGGTCAGGGATCTTATAAGTTTGATGAAATTGACTGAGTATGGCCTGATTTGTTATTTGCTCATAAGATTTTTTAAAACTTACACATTATATTAAACCAAAGAGTCTTAACCATAAATTAAGAAATAGTCTGAGAATCCTAAGGTTCTCCCAATGGCTTCTGACCTTCCCCTTTTTCAGTTGTAGTGTGTGTCGGCATTTAGAACCCACTCTTGCATTCTCAACCACAGCTCAGAAAACATAAACAGTCCAGGGTGTGCTGGTATCAGAGTGTGGGAGCTGACTTTCAAATGTTCAAAACACGTGTAGGTCTGCTGCTATTTCAGTTTTAAATATTTAGATTATATAAACTTTACAAGAAATCAATTATATTAAAACAGAGGTAATAATGGTTTAAAGCTCATGGATTCCCAATAATGTGTTTACATTTGGCCATTGTCTACTCTTGAAGGTATTTACTTTTTCATCCGGTCAGAGTATGACATGGTGCAGTGTCACTGGGCATCTGTTCCCAAGGCTGTCTCCAGTGATGGGCATGGTGGTGGTTTGAAATTGGCCATGGTGGATGTATTTAAACCAGGCAAATGGAAGAAGGCTGCATATCAGGCTCTTCTCCTGGGAGAACCCTTTGCTAAACATTTTCCAGCAGCACATTACCATGGGCAATAGACTTGGAGACGCAGCTTCTACTCCTCCTTCAGGTTTTTCAATCCATGAAAATCCATGGTTTTTCTATCTTAAAAAGCCTTTTCCAAGCTCTTCACCCCAAGGAGAATCAATAACTTATCTCGTTATTCCTATGCCTTATTGTAAGTACTTGTGTTGTAACACATACCATGCTTTCCTTGTTTAAGGTTCATTTCATCTCTAGAAAGTGAGCATTTAGCGGTATGATTGATATACTGTAAATGTTCAATAAATGCTTACTGAGTTAATAATAAATGAATCAATTAATACAGAGTAGGAAGATATTAAAGGAAACTCTGATGCTATGTCATTAATGGGACACAGAATCTGAAATTATTCAACCACATATGCCCCTGTGCATGAACCACAATAAACATTTCCAAATTCGTTTCTATTGAACACATGCTCTTTGTCCTCTTTTTCTCAAATCCGTATCCTCTACAAGCCTGCTTAACAGGTAAACTGAAAATTCAGCAAGTACTGAACAAAAGAATTGCAATTTCATGATTCAGTATTGGAAAATTAGCAAGAATATGGAGATGAAAGTATTTGAAGACGTAGCATCAACTCCCCTTGGTCTCTGGGTACAATGTGGCCCTGACTTATGACAAGCAAGAATGTGTTTAACAACCTACTCAACTGTGATGTTCATAAACATTTTACAGGAGAAAGTGTTTGCATCTTCAATATTTCACAAAGAGCCTACCCTCTCAGTATGCACATACTTGATTCAGAGCTAATTTTAACTTGAATAACTCAGCCTGTTTGACCTAACGGGTGCGGGCAACTTATATATAAAGCATTTACGGTGTGAGCTATTTTTAACTTACACCCAATCAGCTGGCTTGCTGCATGATATGAGCACTGCATTTTAGTCCACGAAACTATTGGAGCTATTCCCTCAAGCATGAAAGCATGAAGGTGCAAACCTACACTGTGGGCACTGGAGTGCAACACGCCATCATTAGGAACTCTCTGGAGGGCCAGGCATGGTGGCTCACCCCTGTAATCCTAGCACTTTGGGAGGCCAAGGCAGGCAGAATGCTTGAGCTCAGCAGTTTCAGACGAGCCTGGGCAACATGGCACAATCATGTCTCTAATCCAAATACAAAAATTAGCCAGGCATGGTGGCACATGCCTGTGGTCCCAGCCACTGTGGGAGAATAACTTGAGCCTGGGAGGCAGAGGTTGCAATGAGCCATGATAATGTCATTGCACTCCAGCTTGAGTGACAGAGTGAGACTCCCTCTCAAAAGACAAAAAAAATCTCCCTAGAAACTGTCCATTTGTCAATGTTGAGCAACATTCATAATGAAGACTTCGAGAAAATACAAGACCCTGAGTTGTCTCTAGAATTATCAAAAGCAGATTGTATTATGGTTGACTTCATTTTGTTAGTTGACTGTAACCCATGTTGCTTTATTGCAAATTAATAAATCACCCAAAATACCACATTCTTTGAACTTACCATGTAAAATATCCTATAATCTGAAGATTAACAAATTATCATCACGAGCTAAGTAGAAGCCATAATTTCCTAAGCATTTCTCATTCAAATCAAGAATATTTAAATAGAAAATACCACCATGGCTATTATCATTATTATTATAAACAAAAAATGATCACTACTCTTAAAAGTATTGGACAGTATACCGTGAATCATTAGATAATTTAACAATATTATTAATTAAATGCTTACTATGTATCATGTACTACATTAAGCTACTGCAAAATATATTATAACTCCAGATTCTAGATATTAATATCCTTATTTTACAGATAATAAAACTGAGTCAAAAAGGACTTGATTTTTCTAGCCATATAACCAGCAGAGGCAGAGAATGAGATGAGAGCCCCAGTCTTGCTGATTCCAAGTCCCTGCCCTTCATCCCAACTTCACTCTTCAAAAAATGAAAGGTAACTATAGTTTTCAAAGAGGTGAAACCAATTCCAAATGAGGCTGCACTGAAGTTATCAGGGCACTTTGCAGTAAAGACTATCCTTTAAATTTGAAAAAGGATGGACAACGTAAGACTTGTTTATATCCTGGAAGATAATGAACTTATGCAACACGTCACCCCCTAAGCCTCTGTAGGCCAAAAACATAAACAGGCACAAAAAGGGGTTAACATCAGTCTCCCTGGAAGGTTTTTAATGCCCAGTGATGCAGGGATTTAGGTGGATGTATTAATATCCACCTTTTGGAAACCTGACGAATACCGTCGACCATAAAACGCCATCTTGAAGAGATGCAGTGGCCTCCCCTCACCACTTTCCCATCATGGCTCAAGTGCCACTTTCTCCACATGTCTTTCCCCACTAGTGGCTCCTTTTCTCCTCACAGAAGGCCTGACCACACCTGTTCTCCTTGCAGCACCTGTTGGTCTTCATTGACCTGGCTGGCATGTGCGTGCCATTCCCCTGCTCCTGGAGGGTTGGCAGCACTATGCACATCCTCACGTCTCCACTGTCTAACATGTCATTGCTATCCATGTAGCCTCCATAGTAAGGCCTCAGCAATGTGGGCTTGGATATGCTATCTTGTTTTGTTTGCTAATGAACAAAGGAAGTCTTCTGGATGGAAAGACCAAAAATCCAAGAGAAGGTGATTGCAATGGACTGAATATTTGTGTCCCACCAAAATTCATATGTTGAAGCCCCAATCTCCAATGAGATGGTGTTTGGAAGTGATGCTTTCAGGAAGTGATTTGGTTTACATGCAGACACGAGGGTTGATACCCCATGATGAGATTAGCACCCTTATAAGGAAAGGAGGAAACCAGGGTGTTCTCTGCCACTCAAGGACACAATTAGAAGATGCCATCTGCAAACCAGGAAACGGGTCCTTGCAAGACTCTGAATCTATAAGCACCTTGATCTTGGACTTCCAGTCTCAAAACTGTGAGAAATATATGTCTGTTGTTTAAGCTGCCCAGTCTATGATATTTTGTTATAGCAGCCAGAGTTGACTAAGCTGGTGGCATTTCCACCTTATGCAAATTTTCTAGACTAACGCTACTTCTCATGATTCTGTCTTGCTGAAGTTCTCTCTCAGCACTGTCCCATCATTGGAGAGTAATGTACCTGAGTATTATTTTCTCAGCCCAGGCCTGCCATCTTCCCAGTCAGAGACTCTGTAATAGTTTACTGGTTTGGCCTTAGTATCTTATCATTTATGACAAATATAGGCATAGGAAGTCATCATTTGATTAGCACCTGTATCTCTTAATTAAATATATGCATGTGTGTTTATAAATGCTTGTTATAAGATACTATTATACCTAGAATAGGTAAATTGTTTATTTTCTTCTGCTCAATTTTATAGTCTTCTCCTCGTTTGTCCATACTGCATTATGTGTTGAAGTAAATACTAACCTTGGGGTCAGACATGTACAGTTTTGATCCCTGGCCCTAAGTATTTACCAACTCTGTGGCCCTGGGGCAAGTTCCTAAGCTGTATTCTTTTCTGAAGAGCAGGTGGAGGTGGGTGGCCGCCCGCCAGGCAGGATTGTTGTCAAAACTAGATGAAAACTTATATACCAAGCACCATGCTGGACACGCCACAGGCACCCGATAAATGCTAACATTAGTTATGTAGAAATTATTACATGTTATATTGTATTTAATTTCATAAATTGCCTGAAAAATTTTATATCTCAGAAGCATATAGATCTTAAATATATCCGAATGGTACACATGTTCTCCCTTACCATTAAAATCATATACACGGATATATGGAAACTTTTCCTAAGAAGGTTGCCGTGAGCTTGTGTGTTGTGGGACCACGCACACACATGTGGGTAGAGTATATGAATCAAGTTCCATATCTTAAAGATGACTGTCCATTTCTATCAAACTCAGTGTGATCATTGAAATACGTATATAATAAACATAGCAAACACTTGGAACCAACCCAAATGCCCATCAATGATAGACTGGATAAAGAAAATGTGGCACATACACACCATGGAATAAAGGATGAGTTCATTTCCTTTGCAGGGACATGGATGAAGCTGGAAACCATCATTCTCAGCAAATTAACACAAGAACAGAAAACCAAACACCACATGTTCACACTCATAAGTGGGAGTTAAACAATGACAACACAAGGACACAGGGAGGGGAACATCATGGACCGGGGCCTGTTGCGGGGTTGGGGGCAAGGGGAGGGAGAGCATTAGAACAAATACCTAATGCATACGGGGCTTAAAAACTAGACATTGGGTAGATAGGTGCAACAAAAACCATGACACATGTAGTTCTATGTAACAAGCCTGCACATTCTGCACATGTAACCCAGAACTTAAAGTAAAATAAAAATAAAAGAAACACGTATATAAGACTTATAGAAATACACACAAGGAAAACACCGCTTAAAAGTCCAAGATTAATAGCATGCATCGAAAATTTCTCTCCCAGGAAAGTTATGGTTCCAACTAATGATTGATGTAACAAAATGACTTAATAACCATCTATACCTTTTAAAAGTAATTCTTGAATAAATAAGCAGTTATTTGCCTCCCACACAAGAAAACATACCCAGTTCAAGGCCAATGCATGGGAAACAAACCTGATCCCACAGTACAGGTTGTCAGGAAAGTCCTGGGTGAATGCACAGATCTGAGCACCACAGAAGACATCAGGAGACACAGGGAATGCCCAGGTGTCCCCAGGGTGGCTGGGCTCAGCGAGAGGCACCCAGAAGGGTTTGGAGATGTCTTAGATTCACGAAAGCCTAAGATTGGCCCTCTGAGTTTAGAACCTCTCTTTTAAGCAAAACCTCCAGCTATTGACATGAAAAGATATCTATCCTTTAGGGCTCTTTGGCCAGAGCTGGGTAAATTCCCCTGTTTTGTTCTGGAAGTCTGTCTTTTGGAAAAAAGCCCTAAACTTTGTAAAACGGAAATGAAAACTTCTATCCAGAGTATATGTGCAATTTTTTAAAACCAGTAGATGACATAAAACTGCATATTTCAATAACATTCTTTAACTCTAAACCCCCTTGCTGAAGCCATTTCAGCCCTTTTTTTCCATCATGAAACACCTCCCACTAATAGAGCTGTTTGTATTAGACAAAATAAGACAGGAATGCACTTGAGGAGCAGAAACACTGACTTGGTGCAGGGACTCACAGCCTCCATCTGGGGTGTCTGCCTATCTTCAAAGCGTTCTGTCAATATTTAAAGACAGTGGGAGGGTGGTTCAAAGATGGCTGAATAGGAACAGCTCCAGTCTACAGCTCCCAGAGTGAGCGACGCAGAAGACAGGTGATTTCTGCATTTCCAGCTGAGGAATGCAGCTCCTCACCAGCAACAGAACAAAGCTGGACGGAGAATGACTTTGATGAGCTGAGAGAAGAAGGTTTCAGATGATCAAACTTCTCCGAGCTAAAGGAGGAAGTTCGAACCCATCGCAAAGAAGTTAAAAACTTTGAAAAATGATTAGACGAATGGCTAACTAGAATAACCAATGCAGAGAAGTCTTTAAAGGACCTGATGGAGCTGAAAACCATGGCACGGGAACTACGTGATGAATGCACAAGTTTGAACAGCCGATTCGATCAACTGGAAGAAAGGGTATCAGTGACTGAAGATCAAATGAATGAAATGAAGTAAGAAGAGAAGTTTAGAGAAAAAGGAATAAAAAGAAATGAACAAAGCCTCCAAGAAATATGGGACTATGTGAAAAGACCAAATCTATGTCTGATTGGTGTACCTGAGAGTGACGGGGAGAATGGAAACAAGTTGGAAAACACTCTGCAGGACATTATCAAGGAAAACTTCCCCAACCTAGCAAGGCAGGCCAACATGCAAATTCAGGAAACACAGAGGACGCCACAAAGATACTCCTCGAGAAGAGCAACTCCAAGACACATAATTGTCAGATTCACCAAAGCTGAAATGAAGGAAAAAATGTTAAGTGCAGCCAGAGAGAAAGGTCGGGTTACCCACAAAGGGAAGCCCATCAGACTAACAGCTGATCTCTCAGCAGAAAGTCTACAAGCCAGAAAAGACTGGGGGCCAATATTCAACATTCTTAAAGAAAACAATTTTCAACCCAGAATTTCATATCCAGCCAAATTAAGCTTCATAAGTGAAGAAATAAAATACTTCACAGACAAGCAAATGCTGAGAGATTTTGCCACCACCAGACCTCCCCTAAAAGACCTCCTGAAGAAGCACTAAACATGGAAAGGAACAACTGGTACTAGCCACTGCAAAAACATGCCAAATTGTAAAGACCATCGAGGCTAGGAAGAAAACTGTATCAACTAATGAGCACAATAACCAGCTAACATCATAATGACAGGATCAAATTCACACATAACAATATTAACCTTAAATGCAAATGGGCTAAATGCTCCAATTACAAGACGCAGACTGGCAAATTGGATAAAGAGTCAAGACCCATCAGTGTGTTGTATTCAGGAAACCCATCTCATGTGCAGAGACACACATAGGCTCAAAATAAAGGGATGGAGGAAGATCTACCAAGCAAATGGAAAACAAAAAAAGGCAGGGGTTGCAATCCTAGTCTCTGATAAAAGGGACTTTAAACCAACAAAGATCAAAAGAGACAAAGAAAGCCATTACGTAATGGTAAAGGGATCAATTCAACAAGAAGAGCTAACTATCCTAAATATATATTCACCCAATACAGGAGCACCCAGATTCATAAAGCAAGTCCTTAGAGACCTACAGAGAGACTTAGACTCCCACACAATAATAATGGGAGTCTTTAACACCCCACTGTCAACATCAGACAGATCAACAAGACAGCAAGTTAACAAGGATATCCAGGAATTGAACTGAGCTCTGCACCAAGCAGACCTAATAGACATCTACCTAACTCTCCACCCCAAATCAACAGAATATACATTCTTCTCAGCATCACACCACACTTATTTCAAAATTGACCACATAGTTGGAAGTAAAGCTCTCCTCAGCAAATGTAAAAGAAGCGAAATTATAACAAACTGTATCTCAGACCACAGTGCAATCAAACAAGAACTCAGGATTAAGAAACTCACTCAAAACCACACAACTACTTGGAAACTGAACAACTTGCTCCTGAATGACTACTGGGTACATAACGAAATGAAGGCAGAAATAAAGATGTTCTTTGAAACCAACGAGAACAAAGACACAACATGCCAGAATCTCTGGGACACATTTAAAGCAGTGTGTAGAGGAAAATTTATAACACTAAATGCCCACAAGAGAAAGCAGGAAAGACCTATAATCGACACCATAACATCACAATTGAAACAACTAGAGAAGCAAGAGCAAACACATTCAAAAACTAGCAGAAGGCAAGAAACAACTCAGATCAGAGCAGAAATGAAGGAGATGGAGATACAAAAAAACCCTTCAAAAAATCGATGAATCCAGGAGCTGGTTTTTTGAAAAGATCAACAAAATTGATAGACCACTAGCAAGACTAATAAAGAAGAAAAGAGAGAAGAATCAAATAGACGCAATAAAAAATGACAAAGGGTATATCACCACTGATCCCACAGAAATACAAACTACCATCAGAGAATACTATTAACACCTCTACGCAAATGAACTAGAAAATCTACAAGAAACAGAGAAATTCCTTGACACATACACCCTCCCAAGACTAAACCAGGAAGAAGTTGAATCTCTGAATAGACCAATAACAGGCTCTGAAATTGAGGTAATAATTAATAGCTTACCAACCAAAAAAAGTCCAGGACCAGATGGATTCACAGCCGATTTCTATCAGACGTACAAAGAGGAGCAGGTACCATTCCTTCTGAAACTATTCCAATCAATAGAAAAAAGAGGGACTCCTCCCTAACTCATTTCATGAGGCCAACATCATCCTGATACCAAAGCCGGGCAGAGACACAACCAAAAAAGAGAATTTTAGACCAATATCCCTGATGAACATTGATGCAAAAATTCTCAATAAAATACTGGCAAACCGAACTCAGCAGCACATCAAAAAGCTTATCCACCATGATCAAGTGGGCTTCATCCCTGGGATGCAAGGCTGGTTCAATATACGCAAATCAGTAAACGTAATCCAGCATATAAACAGAACCAATGACAAAAACCACATGATTATCTCAACAGATGCAGAAAAAGCCTTTGACAAAATTCAACAGCCCTTCATGCTAAAAACTCTCAATAAATTAGGTATTGATGGGACGTATCTCAAACTAATAAGAGCTATTTAAGACAAACCCACAGCCAATATCATACTGAATGGGCAAAAACTGGAAGCATTCCCTTTGAAAACTGGCACAAGACAGGGATGCCCTCTTTCACCACTCCTATTCAACATAGTGTTGGAAGTTCTGGCCAGGGCAATTAGGCAGGAGAAGGAAATAAAGGATATTCAATTAGGAAAAGAGGAAGTCAAATCGTCCCTCTTTGCAGATGACATGATTGTATATTTAGAAAACCCCATCATCTCAGCACAAAATCTCCTTAAGCTGATAAGCAACTTCAGCAAAGTCTCAGGATACAAAATCAATGTGCAAAAATCACAAGCATTCTTATACACCAATAACAGACAAACAGAGAGCCAAATCATGAGTGAACTCCCATTGACAATTGTTTCAAAGAGAATAAAATACCTAGGAATCCAGCTTACAAGGGATGTGAAGGACCTCTTCAAGGAGAATTACAAACCACTGCTCAATGAAATAAAAGAGGATACAAACAAATGGAAGAACATTCCATGCTTATGGATAGGAAGAGTAAATATCGTCAAAATGGCCATACTGCCCAAGGTAATTTATAGATTCAATGCCATCCCCATCAAGCTACCAATGACTTTCTTCACAGAATTGGAAAAAAACTACTTTAAAGTTCATGTGGAACCAAAAAAGAGCCCGCATTGCCAAGTCAATCCTAAGCCAAAAGAACAAAGCTGGAGGCATCACACTACCTGACTTTAAACTATACTACAAGGCTACAGTAACCCAAACAGCATGGTACTGGTACCAAAACAGAGATATAGACCAATGGAACAGAACAGAGCCCTCAGAAATAATACCACACATCTACGACTATCTGATCTTTGACAAATCTGACAAAAACAAGAAATGGGGAAAGGATTCCCTATTCAACAAATGGTGCTGGGAAAACTGGCTAGCCATATGTAGAAAGGTGAAACTGGATCCCTTCCTTACACCTTATACAAAAATTAATTCAAGATGGATTAAAGACTTAAATGTTAGACCTAAAATCGTAAAAACCCTAGAAGAAAACCTAGGCAATACTATTCAGGACATAGGCATGGGCAAGGACTTCATGTCTAAAACACCAAAAGCAATGGCAACAAAAGCCAAAATTGACAAATGGGATCTAATTAAACTAAAGAGCTTCTGCACAGCACAAGAAACTACCATCAGAGTGAACAGGCAACCTAAAAAATGGGATAAAATTTTTGCAATCTACTCATCTGACAAAGGGCTAATATCCAGAATTTACAAAGAACCCAAACAAATTTACAAGAAAAAAACAAGCAACCGCATCAACAAGTGGGTGAAGGACATGAACAGACACTTCTCAAAAGATGACCTTTATGCAGCCAACAGACACATGAAAAAATGCTCATCATCACCGGCCATCAGAGAAATGCAAATCACAACCACAATGAGATACCATCTCACAACAGTTGGAATGGCGATCATTAAAAAGTCAGGAAACAACAGGTGCTGGAGAGGATGTGGAGAAATAGGAACACTTTGACACTGTTGGTGGGACTGTAAACTAGTTCAACCATTGTGGAAGACAGTGTGGTGATTCCTCAGGGATCTAGAATTAGAAATACCATTTGATCCAGCCATCCCATTACTGGGTATATACCCAAAAGATTAAAAATCATGCTGTTATAAAGACACATGCACACGTATGTTTATTGCGGCACTATTCACAATAGCAAAGACTTGGATCCAACCTAAATGTCCAACAATGACAGATGGGATTAAGAAAATGTGGCACATATACACCATGGAATACTATGTAGCCATAAAAAATGAAGAGTTCATGTCATTTGTAGAAACATGGATGAAGCTGGAAACCATCATTCTCAGCAAACTATCTATCGCAAGGACCAAAAACCAAACACTGCATGTTGTCACTCATACGTGGGAACTGAACAATGAGAACACATGGACACAGGAAGGGGAACATCACACACCAGGGACTGTTGTGGGGTGGGGGTAGAGGGAAGGGATAGCATTAGGAGATATACCTAATGCTAAATGACAAGCTAATGGGTGCAGCACACCAACATGGCACATGTATACATATGTAACAAACCTGCACGTTGTGCACTTGTACCCTAGAAGTATAATAAGAAATATACATATAAATATATAAAATTAAAAAATAAAATAATAAAAAATAAATAAAAAAATAAAGACAGTGACCCCTGTGAATAGCCTGTGGACCCAGAATATGGATGGATCAGTCAAGGCAAAGTTCTTTCATTGTGTTCTCTTATTTATTCTTTTATACAACCACGAGTGAGCTGTTTATTCTGGGCACTGCATCCTTATCACTAAAGTAATTACAGGCAATGGTTTGAAACTATCTGCCTAAAGGGAATTCAGAATTAGAATCCTCCATTTCTGGAGGGGTGTTCATAGGTACCTGTCAGCCCTCCTCTCACTTGGAGGGGGAGGTATTTCTGCACTGTGCCAAAAAATCATTTGAAACCAAAAGAAAAATGAAATATGTTTAAAGCACTTTTTTGAATATCATTCTTCTGCCAGGTCTTCCGCTGAAAACATGTGCATACTCTTTTAATTTAATACCTATAATTATCCTGTGAGGTTGTCATCTCTTTTCCACACTAGACAGAAAGAGGCTCAAGCTCCTACAACTAGTAGGTTCAACTCAAACCCAGGTCTCCAGACCTAAAATGTTATGTTCTTCCAGTTAAACCACATCTGCTTTGTGTTAACTTGATAAAACCAATGTTTGCGTAATCATTCTAAGATGTAAAGAATATTCATGAATGTTAAGCTCGCAGTTTGCTTATTTTTATTTGATGTTTATTGATTTCAAAAAATGACTGTTAGACCACTAAGTTTTAGCAAATTTAGGACAATGCACACCTTTTGCTTCATGTGATTGAGAAGTATGAAGTAACTCATTAGAACACATTCAAATTAATGGACTAACACCAAAGAGACAGTCTTTCTATTTTAATGTAGTGATAGTTACTCTAAACATGAAAAAAGCAACTTTAAATGTATAGATATTATATATTATATAATATATAATTTATATAATATATAATGCCTATATGTTATAATTTATATAATATATATTTACATGTTACATGTAATATATATAACATGTAATTATATATAATATATAACATAATATATAATATATAATTTATATATTATATAAAATATATAGCTATATGTTATATATTATATATAATATATAAATTATATATTATATAAAATATATAGCTATATGTTATATATTATATAAAACATACAAGCATGTTGTATATTACATAATATATAAAATGTATAACATATAAGTACATATATACAAAATATATTTTTTTCATCTGCATGACTCATAGTACTTAACAATTTTATTTAGATATAGGTTTTGGGATTTTTCTTTGCTTGCTAATTATGAACATATATTTTATCTTTTTTACTGGCCATCTAGAAACAAATGGCACTGTCTTTCTATATCATCATTGTTGAACCCAGTTGCAGATACTGATACAGTCTTTTTTTTTTTTTTTTTTTTAGACGGAGTCTCGCTCTCTCGCCCAGGCTGGAGTGCAGTGGCGCTATCTCCGCTCACTGCTAGCTCCGCCTCGCAGGTTCACGCCATTCTCCTGCCTCAGCCTCCAGAGGAGTAGCTGGGACCTGATACAGTTTTAAAATAGAGTCAGAGCTTGACGGCAGCCTAATTTTAGTCACCCTCATTCTCCTTGCTATAGATCATATTCCAAACTAGTATTTCCATCACGACTCTTATTACATTCAGAATTCTTACATACTTTATTGCAGTTCTAAATTCTCTTCTGAAATTTGTAATGATGCCGGGAAGCACTTGGCCAAAGTGGACAATTAAACTGCCTTTGGAATAACCTGTGGTAGGAAAGTCAATACGGGAATCAATATTTTTGGACTGAAGTGAGCTCCACTTAGAAGGATCAGCATCATCCAAGCCCAGTTTTTGAAATAAAAATAAGAGATGTCTTCATTATAAAACGATTTACTGGGTTCATTATAGAAAATGCATGGCTGGATTTTTAAAGTGTTTTGATGTCATCATTTCAGTCACATTTAAATTGATGGATAAAATCAAATCCAAAGTTGCAAAATTGAAGCCACTGCCCTTGTTTTACACCAAAAATAGTGACTATAAAATAAAGTTGCCTCAGGGCTAATTGTACCCATTACGTTGAGTTTAATGACTCGGCAGTCTAGTTGTCTTTCCCCCTGTAAAAATTTTTTGAATCTTCATTACACATCATCAAACTGTTACCTAAACACCAGGGGTCCTGTCTGGGTCCTGCTGCTCACTGCACAGAATGCCAATGACTGAGATCACGATTACTGCCAAGGAAGAAGGCTTTAATCGGATGCTGCAGCCGAAGGAGATGGGAGCTCAGACTCAAATCCACCTCCCTGACCTACTAAAATTAGGGGTTTATATAACAGGAAGAAAAATGTAACAACGGGTTACAAAACAGGAGTGAAGCATCTGGCATCTCATTGCCTGGATATGGTGATCTGGTGAGTTTCATTTCTTTGAGACTGTTTTTAGAGGCCTGGGGGTGCTTTTCTGAGGAAGGAAGTCAAAGAAAATCAATGCAATTTCAAGCCTTAAGATCAGAAGGGTCAATTTCTTTCTTTTTTTTTATAACATGTTTTATTGCTTTATTTTTAATTTCTATGGGTACATTGAAGTTATATACATTTATAAAGTACATGAGATGTTTTGACACAGGCATGCGACGTAAAATAATCACATCATGGAGAATGGGGTATCCATCCCATCAAACATTTATTGTTCGTGTTACAAACAATCCAATACACTCTTTTAGTTATTTTTAAAAGTACAATTATTTTTTACTATATTCACCCTTTCCCATTTTGCTACCAAATAAAATATATTATTCTTTCTTTCTTTCTGTATTTTGTACCCATTAACCAACCAATGCTCCTTGCCCCCACCCCTCACTATTCTTATCAGCCTCTGATAACCATCAGAAGGGTCAGTTTTCTATGTTTATCAAAAAGAAAAAAAAACTGTCTATGGGACTATTAGGTAGGTTTCAAAATTCTTATTTGAAATTAAGCTTGGGCTTGTTTCTGTGAAGTTAGAGTGTGGGTCACCCCCTTGAGTTACTGACTTCGTGGATAATCAGAGCGCTTGGAATACAAGCTAGGAAAGGCAGTGTCAAGAGACGTGTCATTGACAGCTAACACTGTGACTTTCAGGAAGCGCCTTCACTTCTCTACGCTTGTCTTCACTTTTCTAGGATAGGGAGGTGCCGCCACACTGACGATGAGAGTTGCATCCTGCGTGACTTCTCTATTTGCTGGTGGATGGGTTAAGAATATGCCACCCCACCATATGCTGCTCTGGCATGTTTAAATTAAAGACGCTTAAAAAAAAGCCAGTTACAAGATCATGTCATTCTGTTCATTGAAAGCAGGAGATAGAATTCCCATACGAAATATACTGTCTTGATACCAAAAGGGAAGCAGTGTTCTTATCATCAAGCACAGAAAACTGAAGCCCAGGGATATCTATACAAACAAACCTTGCTACACTAACACTTATCCACCTGGTCACTTCTCTAGCCGATCCCTTACCCTCGCCCAAGTCCCTTGGCCTTGCCACGTTTCACAAGCAAATATTCTTTGTCCAAGCCAGTCTATCAGTGGCTGGTTGTAACTGTTTCTTTGGATCTTCATTTCCTTATGAGGGCTCCCAGGCCACATGAAATTTGCATTAAATAAACCTGCATGCTTTTCTCCTGTTAATCTTTCTTATGTCGATTTCATTCTTGGGCCGTAAGAGGACAGAGTAGAGCTTTGTCTCCCCTACACTGGGGGGTGTCTTTTCCATATCCACATAGAAGAAGCTTGTTCAAACGTATCAGGACATTCAGGAGAGATGTGACTGGTCAAGTAGGGGTGGATGGCAGATGTAAAAAAATTATGAGGATGTGACAGTATTGGATATCAAATACCAAATGTATGTCCAATAAAATGCAGGATCCTATACTAATTTAAAACCAGAAATACAAGCATGATATAAGCATCACACCTCTGAACGCACCTCCGTGCAGCTCATAGGAAGGCAACCTTCCATCTTGGTTTGCCCAGGGCAGGTCCACATTCACTTTGTTGCTTTTAAGTCCAGCTTAGCATTTCCAGGACCAAAAAAGTCTGTGGTTACCCCATGTATGATGGATGAAAAGGTGATCTGCTCCATGTAAGGCTGCAGAAGGCTGACTCTGTCCCCTTTCTATTAAAATCCATGGTGAGCAGGGATATGGAACTCTGCATTTCTAATTTTAGGCTGGAAAA